>NC_000010.11:56658246-56809761 GCF_000001405.40 Homo sapiens | reverse complement strand
AACAGATGAATGGTTAAAGAAAATATGGTACAAACATACAATGGAATATTAAGCCATACAAGGATGAAATCCTGCTATTTGCAAAAACACAGAGGAAACTAAGACATTATATTAAGTGAAATAAACCAGGTACAGAACAACAAATATTGCATGTCTTTGCTCATATTTGGAGGTCAAAAAAAATTGAACTCATGGAGATATAGAGTGGTATGATGATTGCCAAAGGCTCAGAAGGGTAGCAGAGATGGTTGGTGATAAATGGGGATGGCCAATAGGCACAAAAATAGAATCAGATAGAATGAATAAGATCTAGTATTTGGTAGCTCAACATGGTGATAATAGTTAACAATAGTTATTGTATATTTTACACTAAGGAAAAGAGTGGAACTGGAATGTTCTCAACACAAAGAAATTTAAAGAGCTTGAGGTGGTGGATACCCCCAATTACCTTGATTTCATCATTACACATTGTATACCTGTATCAAAATATCATATAAACCGCAGAAATATATATAACTCTTATGTACACATAATCAAAAAAATGTACAAAAGTAAAAGTTATATAATTATTTTATTTTTAATTATTTTCTATTTTTACTTGTATAATTATTTTCCCATGCTTTTCTGAGGTTTTATCACTTTTTTATCATCTTAAGTCAAATGCCTGTTTTTTGTTAAAATATTTGCTTTTAATGAAAATGGCATTTAAGGCTATGCCTTTAATTACAGTTTTAGTAAGTTCCCTTACATTTTGACAGAAGTTATTTGCAGTTTGTAATTTTGTAAATACTATGTGACTGTAGCTTTGCAAAAATTTCCTAGAAAAAACAATTATTGGGGATACATTAACACTTTGAACGGACTTTTTTCTTAAATTTTTACTGTAAGTCTCCAGATTTATTTAGTTGTGATTAGCAATGTAGCCTGTACAATTTTTGCTGTGGTGAGTTTTCTTGGGCTATAGCTTTCATGCTCAACTTTTGAAAAATGCTGAATAAATGTCATATTTCTTCCATACTTAAGATTTTGTGAATGGAAGAGGCAGAACAAGATGGTAGAACAGAAGGCTCTACTGATTGTTCTCCTCACCCCCTGCAAAGAGACCAATTTACCAACTATCTACACAATAAAAGCACCTTCATAAGAACCAAAAATCAGGTGAGCCCTCACAGTACTTGGTTTTAACTACACACTGCTGAAAGAGGCACTGAAGAGGTACAAAAAACATTCTTGAATTAATGATGCCACTTGAGGAGAGGAGAGGACTTTGTCTTGCATCTTGGATACTAGCTCAGCCAAAGCAGGGTAGGTCATCGGTCAGAGTTGTAAGGTCCTCTTTCTAGGCCCTAGCTCCTGGATATTTCTAGACACACCCTGGGCCAGAAGGATCTGCTGCCTTGAAGGGAAGGAGCCAGTTTTGGCAGGATTCATTGCCTGTTAACTGAAGAGACCTTGGACCCTGAATAATTAGCAGCAATACCCAGGTACTACATTGAGGGCCTTAGGTGAGACCCTGAGACTCTTGCTGGCTTCAGGTGAAACTCAACACATTTCCATCTGTAGTGGCTTTGGGACGAGACCTCTTCTGCTTGAGAAAAGCAGAGGGAAAAGTAAAGGGAACTTTTTCTTGCTTGACTACAGGAGGGTAGAGCACCAACTTGGCTGTTGGGGTCCCTGATTCTAGGACTTGGCTCTTGAATAGTATTTCTGGACCTGTCCTGCACCAGAGGGGAGCCCACACCCCTGAAGAGTATGTCCCAGGCCAGGGAAATTCACCACAGGCTGAATGAAGAGCCCTCATGCCTTAAAGGAACAGTAGTCTGGCAGTCCTCCTCATAGGCCTATGGTGGCAATGGCCTTGGGGTGAGGCTGCTCTGATTTTGGAAACAGGAGAGAAGAATGGAAAGAATTGCATCATGTTGTTTGAGTGCCAGCTCAACCACAATATAATAGAACACCAGCTAGACTGTAAGGTTTTTTACTGTAGTTTCTGGCTCCCAGATGGCACCTCTAGAACCACCTGGGGCATGGGGGACCTTGTCACCCTGCAGGCAAGGACACAGATCTGGCTGATCTTTGCCACCTCCTGATTGTACAGCACCAGGGCCTTCAGCTAACATAGGCAGTAGCCAAGAAGTGGTTACAGCAATCCTTGGGCAAGACCCAGTGCTGTGTTGGCTTCAGGTCTGGCACAGTGTAATTATAGTGGTGGTGGACATAAGGGTGCATATGTCACTCCGCTTCCAAGTTCAGGTGACTCATAATGGAGAAAGGCTCTGTTTGTTTAAAAGAAAGTAAGGTAAGAGAACAAGAGTCTCTGGCTGGTAATCCAGAGAATTCTCCAGGATCTGGTTCAAGACCATCAAGTCAGAACCTCTACCAGTCTACAAGAAGCACAGCATTACTGGGCTTGGAATGCCCCCTAAAGCAGACATACCTTACATTACAAAACCCAAGACCTTTTGCATTTCTGAAAATCCTTTCCAAGAAAGATGGGTGCAAATGAGTCCAGACTGAGACGACTAAAATAAATACCTAACATTTCAATGCCCAGAGCCAAGATGCAAACACCTACAAGTATTAAGACATTCCAAAAAACATGACCTCACCAAATGAACTAAATGAGATATGAGGTCCTATCCTGGAGAAACAGAGATATCTAACCTTTCAAAAAGAATTAAAAATCGATGTTTTGAGGAAACTCAGAGAAATTCAAGATAACACAGAGAAGAAATTCAGAATTCTGTTAGATAAATTTAATAAAGAGATTGAAATAAAAAAGAATCAAGCAGAAATTCTGAAACTGAAGAATGCAATTCAAAGAGAAGAGAAAAACAATCTAGAACTTAAATGACCCGTAAATTAAACAATCTCACAATAATCTAGAATTAAATGTCCGATTTGAAGAAATTTAGAAAATTATGAAACAAAATTTTGCAACCAAGATTTTCTAGGAAAGCAGGACACTAGAACTAAGTTATGTTACATGCGCAGCAGGGGCTGGTTGCTCCAAAACTCAGTTGCATTTGCCTTAGAAGATTTGTCATAAGGCATAGACTAGATTACAGTCTTCCAAGTTCAATTTGTTTGCACTTTAAGATGGAAGCTCTCTCTGTGGACAGGCCCACATTAATCAATTTCACAGAGACTGATAGTTATAAACCAATAACATGGATAAAGAAGATATTATTGTTCATTTATACAGCAAAAACTGTCAAGAGACTCAGAATGTTTGAGGTTCTTCAGCATGTTCTCTCTCTATGGAAAAACACATTGAAAGAAAAGTTCTTAAGAAGTTTGAATAGAGAACAAGAAATAAATTAGCTGATGTAAGTATCTCTCAGGTAAGGTAATCTAACTTTTGCAATCTGATTGTTTACCTGAGATTAGCCAGAACTCCATCCATCTTGAACAGTGTTAAAATGCTGAACTGAGTAGGGCCAACAAACTTGTACTTCTTTCTCTCTCTCCTGACACTCATGATTAGTCAATTTTTTTTTTTTACTATTGTACCCCTTTTCCATGCAGAGCATACATCTGTTTTCTGCATGATGATAATCGGTAAATTTCCAAATCACAGGGTTTAGAATGCTGAATTTTACCAAACTAGTCCATCGTTCACTTATGCACAGCATCTTATTCTACTCTCACAGGTTACTAATTCTCTAATGTGGATATAGATACTAGTTTAGATTTTAGAGTAAAACCTTAGTCTGGCTTTTGAGAGCACCTCAATTCAGTCCCATATTATTTGTTAATCTGTTAAGATATAATCCTCTTTTTGTTGGTATTAGACTTTATAAATAGTCTCAAATTCTTTGAAAATTTGTGGATATGTGCAAATATTTGTAAAGCTATCTATCTATATAGATATTTCAATATAGAGAGATAATCTCTCAGGGAGTGAGAAAATGCTCAGCCAATTAAATATTCTGAATACTATTTTTTTCTCTGTAGTGGGCATATGAGTATATGTATCATTTTTTAAAATATTGATTCAACTGGAGTTATTCAATTAGTATGTGAAAAGTTATTCATAGTTTTTTCATTTGTTGAAAAAAGGTACCCAGTTCTATAATAATTATATATTGAATTAAATTATCTCTCTTCTCTTTTTCCCTCTTCAGGCCTTAATTAGATCAGCTGCAGGTATTTGGAATGCAAATGGGGTAGTTTGTAATAAAAGAGACAAAGATTTTTATGTAGCACACCCTCCTGCTTTGGGATTCTCTCTGGATGGTTATGTAACCTTAGTTTAGCCAGAAAAAAAAAAAGAGACATTTTGTTTTGGAGAAATGCCATGTAGCTGTCTACTCAAGGTAGTTCACTTTTTGTTTTACATTTTTCTATATTAAAATGCCCTCTTTGTTTCAGTATTGGCTAGCTCCACAAAGGTTTATACTCTTGAATCATACATATCACTTGAAAAGTACAGCACTTCCAAGGGCACTGAAGGCTTAACATGACAATAATAACAACTAATGACTAATTATCCAAGAAATGGATTTTTACATATACACTTTATGGAGGAGATTGCTGACTCAGGTCAAAGCCGTACCTTTTCTTCCTGGGAACATAGCCACACTACATTTTGAAGACTACATAGAAGTTAGGAATAACAGTGTGATTGAGTTCTGGTCAATGGGTGATGTGCATAGTTAAAACATATCTTATAATGATACTCTATGTTAATTTATCTGGGTAGAATAGAGACAAATACTAGGAAGAACATGGGAGCCAGGTGTTGGTGTGGTCACAGCACAGAAAGATACTGAAACCCTTTTTGGACTAGAACTACCTGCTGATCAGAAAAATCTCTGGACTTTAGGTAAATGAGAAATAAACTCTTGTGTTATTAAACCACTGACATTTCAGTTATTACCTCCACTGTTATCTTAGTGAATGCACAATCTCATACATTGTATTTTCTTAAGAAATGAAAATACTGAGATTTATTTAGGAGTAGTGAGTTTTTCATGAATACTCAGTTACTAAATGGAAATTTGAAACTCAAATATGGGTTTTCTCATTCCAGATTGTGTTTTTTTTTTTTTTTTTGCCATTTTTCATGTTGTCAAATATGCTGTTCTTATATGCTGTTTGAAAATTCAGTGTCTTGAGTCACAGAAACTGCATTTACGGTGATTTCAATACTTGCTAGGTGTATAGACTTGGGAGCATTTATTAATCTTTGCCTTTTTTTCATCTGTAAAATGAGAGTAATAAAAATGTATACCCTATAATGCTGTAAGGATTACATGAGAATATGCAAGTTAAAGGATGTTTTGAGAGCCCTCAGCAAAACTGGGGTTTGAAGAGGAGCTAGATGTGGGTGTTTACAGTGCCTTTCCTGGGATAATTCATTTACGGGGCAAGTGGCCTAATGTTTCCTTGTGATTGTGGGACTCGCTACCAGGGATCCCTCACACAGGGAACTTGTTTACACTGTTGGACAAACTTGTGGCTCTTATCTGGCTTATATTCAGTTTATGTCTGCCTGACCATCACTCTGACTCTGGAAGCCAAACTTGTGTCACCACTCCCTCCCCTTTTTCTGGTAGGCTGGGGTAAAACCAGCCTGGGGCAGCCCCTAGTTTTTCAAATGGAAAGCACAAATTCAGTGCACCACCACAATAGAAACAAGTTCTAAGTTTTTGACTTATATCTCTTGGGCAAAGAGGGTATAATTTGGCAGTCCATTGTCCCCCAGGTCATGCAAGGTAAAAATAAAGAATCAGGAAGGGAGAGAGAGAAGCATCTTTGTAACTTGCAGTATATGCAAGGGAATAGGATATGGATTACTCTAAGTTATTGGGCAAATAACTGAAAGTTTTATTAAATAAATCAGCAGGAAAGTGGGAGCCCAGAATGCTAGATGGGAGAGATGCCTCTAAGTTCTTACTTCTCGGCACCAACTTGCACCATTTGGCTGTGGTGTATAACTAGAAGCTGTGTCAAAGGAGACTAAGCACTGCTTCTGGTATGAGAAAGTTCAGAATGGATGCTGAAGCAACATAAAATGAAAGAATTTACTGCAAAGGCTTACAATGATATTTTATATATAAAAATTATAAAACAGTGGGAAATTGTTTTGCTGTTTAATGTGAAGTTCTTTAAATAGTGCAAAACTTAGAAACTACCTTCTCTCTCTCAGCTTACAAACACTTCCTGCCCATTTTCTCTTATTTATGTCAAATTTTTATGTAAATCCATGGTTTTTAAACTTGAGTACATATCAGAATTATCTCTTGAGTTTTCTTCTTTGTTATTAATAACAACAAAAAATAGAATGTAAAAAACAGCATGCAGAAATAAAAACAGAGTATCTTACGTTAAGATACATAAGAGACTTTATAAAGTTCATGGAAAATGCATATTATGAAAAAAATTATGCATGGATTTGAAATTTTCTGTACCAAAATAAACTTGTTCTAACTTGTTATAACATGTCTGAATAGGATCTAGTCTGAGGTAGAAAGAAGGATGATTTATCTATTTGAAAAAGGCCCCAATCAGAGCAACATGAATTGTGCTAAAATGGAGGTAAGAACTAACATCAAATTTATGGTAAAGCTTGGGTCGAAGAATAATGGTGAAATCATTGATGCTTCATGTAAAGTTAATGGAAACAATGCCTCCAACCCCTGAAAATCAGCAGTTTACAAATGGGTAACTTGTTTTAAGAAGCAAGACAATGTTGAAGATTAAGTCCATAGTATCCATTGCAGGAGACCATCCGCATCCATTTGTGAGGAAAAAAAAAAATCATCTTATTTGTGTTCTGATTCAAGAGGACCAACGATGCACAGCACAAATAATAGGAAACACCACAGACAGCTTAACTGATTCAGCTCGTACAATTCTGACTGAAAAATTAAAGTTGAGCAAACTCCTCTCAATGGGTACCAAAATTATTGCACCCAGATCAGCTTCAGGCAAGAGCAGAGCTTTCAATTAATTTTTTTTTAAGTGGGATCAAGATCTTGAAGTATTTCTTGAAGAATTGTAACAGGAGATGAAACATGGCTTAAAGTACCATACTGAAGACAAAGCCCGATCAAAGTAATGGCTACCAAAAAGTGAAAGAAGTCTAGTCAACGCAAAAGTGGAGTAGTCAAAAGTAAAAATAATGAAAACAGTGTTTTGGGATGCTCAAGTCATTTCACATATTGCCTTTATGGAGGATCAAATAATTATAACATCTGCCTATTATGGGAGTGTTTTGAGAAAGTCAGCCAAAATTTTAACAGAATAATGCCCAGGATAGCTTCACCAGAGAGTTCTTCTCTATCATGACAATGCTCCTGCACATTCCTCTCATTAAACACAGAGGATTCTGCAGGAGATTTGATGGGAAATCATTAGGCATCCACCTTATAGTTCTAATTTAGCTCTTTTTGACTTCTTTTTGTTTCCTAATATACAAAAATCTGTAAAAAACACATTTTTTTTTTCAGGTCATAATGTACAAAATCTGTATTGACATGGTTAAATTTCCAGGACCAACCTCAGTTCTTTTTTTTTTTTTCTTAAACAGAGTCTTGCTCTGTCTCCAGGCTGGAGTGCAGTGGTGCAATCTAGGCTCACTGCAACCTCTGCCTTCTGGGTTCAAGCGATTCTCTTGCCTCAGCCTCCCGAGTAGCTGGGACTACAGGCACCTGCCACCACGCCCAGCTAATTTTTGTATTTTTAGTAGAGATGGGGTTTCACCATGTTGACCAGATGGTCTCGATCTCTTTTTTTTTTTTTTATTATACTTTAAGTTTTAGGGTACATGTGCACATTGTGCAGGTTAGTTACATATGTATACATGTGCCATGCTGGTGTGCTGCACCCACTAACTCGTCATCTAGCATTAGGTATATCTCCCGATGCTATCCCTCCCCCCTGCCCCCACCCCACAACAGTCCCTTGACCTCATGATCTGCCCACCTCAGCCTCCCAAAGGGTGCGCCTGGCCCACCCTCAGTTCTTTAAGGATAGACTGAATAGCTGGTTTTATTGGTTATAAAAGTATCCTAAATAAATGGAGTTCTTGTTGGGAAATAAAATTAATATTTTTTATTTTTTTAATTCAATTTTTCATGAACTTTAAAAATTTCCCTGTTAAAATAATAGTAGGTGGTAGAGTATGTATTATATAAATTACATTTTATTTGATGGCTTTGTAAATAGTGTGGCATGACTCGTGGACTAACAAGGTAGACTTTAGAGTTCTGTTGAAATTGTTCTGGTCATCAAGACAAGAACAGGCTACAGACTATTAAAATTTCTGAGGTGCTCCTGTTTATCAAAGTTATAGAGTCTTATTCCATATTTTTGATGATGAAATAAAACACAATGGAGGAAATGGAAATAAACACAAAATAAGGGCACTATCAGGGTGATCCCAAGTGGATGGAATATAGAGTGGGAATACTAGAAGACCTAAAAGATAAGAACAAAAGTGAAATTACATATATGGTTTAAGATTATAATGAAAAGCAGTTTATTGAGCCTGAGTAATAGAGAACTTGTAAGGTACTTAAAAGATGTGTGGCATGGGCCGGGTGCGGTGGCTCACGCCTGTAATCCCAGCACTTTGGGAGGCCAAGGCGGGCGGATTATGAGGTCAGGAGATCTAGACCATCCTGGCTAACACGGTGAAACCCCGTCTCTACTAACAATACAAAAAATTAGCCAGGCTTGGTGGTGGGCGCCTGTAGTCCCAGCTACTTGGGAGGCTGAGGCAGGAGAATGGCGTGAACCCCGGAGCCGAGATTGCGCCACTGCACTCCAGCCTGGGCGACAGAGCGAGGCTCCGTCTCAAAAAAAAAAAAAAGTGTTGCATGTCTGGGGTACTTGTTTGTCGTATGACTTGGCCAAGTTGTCTAAATAAACTAGGATACATTAAATGCTTGATACCTGCAAATTCTACTCATCTATTCTACTGAATGATTTAGGGCCCGGAAGATAGTAGAGATTCTTCTCAGCTTTTTGTGAGCTTTCTTTTACTTCTTGTATTTCCCCAAAAGGATCAAGACCAATTGAAGGGCTTGGCCTTGGTCATCAGAAATATCTCTCACTTCATCCAGCCTACTCACATTTTTTATCTCAGTAGTAATAACTGTTAACATTCTGAGGTGTCTTTCCATGTCTTCCGCTAAGTCTTTTCTTAAGAGTCAGTACATGAGTAAAGAATAAATAAATGTGAGCCATAATTATTGTAGAAAGAGAAAGAGAACTAATATTTTATTGGGGATATAGAAAGCACATAATGATTTTAAAAATCTCATCATTATAATTTCCCTGCTATCCCCCATTTTTAATGTGAGATAGTTTAGGCTCAGAGAGGTTAGTTACTTACTCAGAACCATACAGCTGGTAGATTAGGTAGAGTCCAGATGCAAACACAGAACTGCTTAAGCTTAAGCTTTCAAATTCTGGCTCAGCTATGCAACTGTAGGCAAGTTATTAAGATTTCCTGTTCTTTTTTTCTTATCCAAACCTGAGAGAGATAATAGTGAGTATCTCACAAGGTTTCTCATGAGGATTAAATGATTAATTCTTTTAAAGTTCTTAGAAAAGTACCAGACTTATAGCAAATTGCGTAACCTATTATTATTATCATTATTTTTCTGTGCTCTTTCCTCCCCAGTACCATACCCTTGAATGCCACCTCCTATCTTCCTTCAATAGTCACCCTTCATTATTGAAAATACAAAGTTAGCTTTTTACCTCAGTCTATCTTTATTGCATTTTGATGAAAGGTGTAAACTAACATATGCTGATGTCCTTCTACAAGCTTGACCCATGGATTTCTAAGTACTTTTCCAGTTTTTTTCTACTTGTTATATATTAGGTACACAGGGTAAATATGATATAACAGAAAAACTTTTATTAATTTACCTTCTTTTGGTTTTTTTTTCCTCTAGTCATCTTAAATTGCTTTCAAGTTTTTATTCTCTGTTTATTTGTTTATACATCAAATTATCTGGCTTTTAGAGCTTTGTGTTTGCTGTTTCCTTGTTTTTAATATGAACTCCCAGGAAGCCACTCTTGACCCTCCAGGCTTGGGTCAGTTTCCCCAATTCTGTTGCACCTAGGACTCACCTTAAGGTCACAAAGTGAATAGTTGTCTTCATTACATAATTTTAAAAAAATTAAATAAAATTTATATTAAAAATAAATATATATAAAAATTAAAGTATTTAAATAAAACAGCTATGTAGATATAAAATATTTTAAATAAAATAATTTTAAAATACTTAAATAATATTTTAACTAAACTGTCTTGTAGATTTAAAAAAAGAATATTTCAAAACAAGAACTATAAATTCTCAAAGGATAATAATCCATACTCACTGAATGTATCTGAGATGATTGTGCTGTGCCAAGCTATAATAAATGTATTCATTGTAGAAAATTTTTTACATATGTAGCAGTCTACTTGGTAAATGACATCTAAATATTTCTAATTCTTCAAATATGCAAGTGAGTATATTTGTTTAATTGACTGAACCCTATTTCTCAATATTTAAAAATAATGAGTAGAAATGTTTTACAGAAATATAAAGCTTTTATTAAGTGATTGCTGGTTACTAGAGGCTGGGAAGAAAAGAGAAGAAGGGAGAATAAAGAGAAGTTGGTTAAAGGATACACAAATACTGTTAGATGGAATAGGTAGGTGTTATTGGTCGATAGCACAATAGGGGGATTATAGTTAACGATAATTTACTGCATAGTTAAAAATAGCTAGAAGAGAATAATTGGAATGTTCCTAACATAAGAAAAAGTAAATATTTGAGGTAACAGATATCACAATTACCCTGATTTGATCATTAGGCATTGTATAAATGTATCAGAATATCACACATACTCCCCAAATAGGCACAATCATTATATATCAATAAAATGTTTCTAAAAAGAAGAAAAAATGGTTTAACTTGGTTCTGTCAAATATGATAAAATCAAATTTTAAACCTCATGAAATAATAATCAGTTGTAGAACCTTGCAAGCAGTGATTACAGTCATAGAGGCAATTTTTTTAAACTTCTATTTTTGTTAATAGAGGTATCCCACTGGATTTGTGCCCCTCAGCAGTTGCTTCATTAAGAGAAGCACAATTCTGGGATTCAGAACTAGTTTCTTGGAGCATTGAACTCTGCAGAATTATAATGATAGATGCATATGGTTCCTAATGAATATTTTTACAATGGGATGATAATTCCTCTGAGGAAGATATTGGTAGGGCCATACCTAAACTCTGTCCCTAGTCACATTAAAGTTCACATCAGTGGAGGATAATTTGGGGAAAGTACTGGCATAGACTTCTGATGCCATTTGTAATTTTTGACTTCTAAAGAGGCAAAATTAAAAAGCATTTCACAAGTTTGGATTTAAGTATAATTACCTTAGAAGCAAGTGATTTATGAAGGAACTGGCTAAGAAGCAGGATTTATTTTGTTGACATTCTGGTGCTAATTATGTCATAAGTTACACTCAGATATGCCTGAGCACCTCTCAGATTTTGAGTTTCTAAAGTGCTGAATTTCTGTTTAAGAAGGTATGACTGATAATTTAGGATTTTTTCTTATTTACAAAAATATTTGGCATCTAGTTTCTTACATAAACAAAAAGGAACAAGGTGAATAAGTTTATGGAAGGTAAATTCATACCACTCTTTGAACTGTATGCTTAGTTATATTAATTGGGGATTAAGTGGGCTAAATTGCTTAAGGTTTTTCTTTTTCAAGTACAAAAGCTTTAATAATTAAAATTTATGATAAAAAATCCTTGTGTTTTTCCTAGTATTACATTTTAATTTGATAAACAGTAAAGAATGCAGTCTGTTGTTCTACAGTGTTATAATTCAAACCTGTTTACTCATCGAATAATCAGGTTAGAATTATAGCATAGTAGAATCAGTGTTGGTGAAACTATAAAACTCATGGGAGAAAGGGGCAAAGAAGGAGAGTCTTGAGTATATTAACTGTTTCTTTATCACATTGTTCCAAGCATATATAGTTAGGATGCAAGATTTCAGTAGAGCTTTTCTGCTCAAGAAAAGCCTTTTGTTTAAGTAGTGATAGAAGAATTACTTACTTTCTCATTTCTATTGGTACATTTATCTAATTATGCAGCCCAAAAGATTCATCCAAACCACTTTTTCAGGGCATGTGTAAAAATGCTACTGCCCACATACTTCTATTTTACTCAAAATCACAGTGCAGCAGTCCTCAGATTATCTGGAAATTTTGAAGCAATACAGCAATAAAATACATAATATTATAACCACTGAGAAAACAGATGTACTTTTTGAGAAATTATACGTGGTAGAACTTTACCCAAGATTTGGAATTCACAGCAATATAATCTGAACACTAGGTGATTCATTCATAGTGAACTCTGGTTTCCCTTTCCTAATTATGTGATTACGGGGGGACTTTATCCTTCCAAAAAAATTCCAAAGGATCAAAATCTCCAAAATATAATTGTGAAAACAATAATAATAATTTTTAAAAATATATTTACTTACATTTAAAAAGTGAATTTATTTAAGAAACATGTAAAAACACAATGGAACAATTCATAGGCCACTTTACCCAATAAAATCAGTAATAATAACACACATATTTTTTGCAAACATAAAACAATCAGGTATGCAAGTGAGAGACACACGGGTATAACAGTTATGAGCAGACAAACCATAGTAATAAAGAAATAGTCTAAAAAGGAAAGTGTATAAATGCATATCACTATGGTTAGTAATTATGTGTACTCAGCTCTATAACTCTGGTTATCTGAAACACTGTGAGGAACAACCTAAGTCTTTTAACAGTGTCTATCAAAAACTGCAATGGATCACCACTCCATTTGCAGTCACCAAAAAAGCTAAGATCTTGAAAAATTATATTTTTCACAAATGTAGATGTACAAAAGAAGACATCTCTTTATTAACTGAAGAAGTTTCAATGTTTTTACATACATACACAAGGCTTAAACACAAAGTCAATGTTTTGATAATATATTTTGAGGAGTCAAATTTGCAAAAAAAAAAAAAAGGAATGAAACTAATTAGAACTCTCTAAAAGTCTTTACATAATTTGTCCCTTCAGTATGATGTGAAGGCGAAATACATAGCATAACACATTGTGAAAAATAATACAGACAATTTAAATAGTAGAAAACATCTAAAGAAAAGGAAAAGAAAAAAATGAAAAAGAAAATTTGACATAAAAAAGTGTATTATAAAGACAGATTATGGGCAATTGTGGGGAAATAGTCCAGAAAACACACCCAAAATATTGCTTTACCAGGTTTCTAAGTTTTTCTTAATCCAATTAAATTGACATCTAAAATTAAGTTCACAAGCTTACCCCTGGTCAACTTGGCACGAATACACAAGTCCTTAAACCATATTTAATTTCAAAAGGCAATAAAAAAGTAATATTTCTCCCCTAACATGATACAACTCTCCTGTGGTTGTGATTTTGGAACTGTGGACATTAGAAATTTAGATTTTAAAGACTTTAATATTTTGAGATTTCAACATTTGGGATTATGGCATCCAAGGCTGTCTTTCAGGAGTATGATCCAAACCTGGTCATTTGGAGGAGGAAAACATTTTACCCTTTACTAGCCTCTTGCTAGCTATTTTACTTTGGAAGAGTTCATTGCACAGGGTTCCAATTGTCCATATTCTCATCAACACTTGTTTTTTTCCCATTTATTTTTAAATATAATAATCATCCTAATTGTTGAGATGTGGTAGCTCATTGTGGTTTTGATCTGAAATTCCCCAGCAATTAGTGATGTTGAGCATCGTTTCATGTGCTTATTGGCCATTCGTATATCTTCTTTGGAGAAATATCTGTTCAAGTTCTTTGCCCATTTTTGAATAAATGTTTGCTTTTTGTATTGTTGCATTGCAGGGGTTCTTTATATGTTCTCAATCCTCATTCAGACACATGGGTTGCAAATATTTTCTCCTATTTTGTAGGTTGCCTTTTTCCTCTGTTGATAGTGTCTTTTAATGTGGATTTTAATTTTCATAAGATTTAAATTGTTTATTTTTTCTTTCATTGCCCATGCCTTTGGTGTCATATTGAAATTAAGTCTTTGGATATCAATAATTCTCTTGTAGATAGCATACAGATGGCTCATTTTTTAAAATCCATATTTCTAATCTCTGTCTTTTCAGAAGGAGTGTATTAGTTTTTGCATTTCTGTAAAGGAATAGGTAAGCTTGAGTATTTTACAAAGAAAATAGTTTTATTTGACTCTTAGTTCTGTAGGCTTTACAAGAAGCATGGCACCAACTTCTGCTTGGTTTCTGGTGAGGCCCGATGAGGCTTTTATTCATAGCTAGAGGCAAGGGGAGCTGGCATGGGAGTGAGCAGGAGAGAGGCAAAAGAGGTGTCATGCTCTTTTAAACAACCAAATATTGTGTGAACTAATAGAGGGAGATCACACTCACTACTGAAGGGAGGGCATCAACCCATGCATGAGGGATACACGTCCATGACCCAAACACCTCCCATGAAGCCCCATGTCCAACACTGGGGATCACATCTCAGCATGAGATTTGGAGGGGACAAATATTCAAACCATATCAGATAATTTAATCCATTTACATTTAAAGAAATTACTGGAAAAGAAGAACTTCATGCAGAACAGAAACAAGTACTACATTTTCTCACTTATATATGGGAGATAAAAAGATAAATTGAGCTCATAGAAGTAGAAAGTATAATTGTGGTTATTAGAGACTGGAAATGGTGGAGGGAGGGGATGATAGGGAGAGGTTAGTTAATGGCTACAAATTTGTAGCTAGTTGGCAGGAATAAATTTTAGTGTTCTGTAGCACCATAGGGTAAACATAGCTGACAATAATTTAGTGTATATGTTTAAGAAGTTAGAAGAGAGGATTTTTAATATTTGTAACACAAAATGATAAATGTTCCAGGTAATAAGTTAATTGTCATTACATGTTGTACACATGTATACACATATTACTCTGGACCACATAATTATGTACAATTCTTGCATGTCAACTAAAAATTAAAAAATTAAAGTGACTTACTTACAATGTCAAAAAAAAGATGTCTGTCATTTTGCTATTTGTTTTCTATGTGTCTTACAGCTTTTCTTTTCCCTCATTTTTTGCATTTCTGTCTTTTGCATACTTAGTTAATTTTTTATAGTGAAATATTTTAATTCCTTTCTTAATTTATTTTTTGTATGTTCTGTAAATATGTTTTTGTGATTGCCATGGATATTGCATATAATATTGTAAAGTTATAATGCTTTTTTTTTTTTTTTTTTTGAGATGGAGTCTTGCTCTGTTGCCCAGGCTGGAGTGCAGTGGTGCTATCTTGGCTCACTGCAAGCTCCACCTCCCGGGATCATGCCGTTCTTCTGCCTCAGCCTCCTGAGTAGCTGGGACTACAGGTGCCCTCCACAACATCCAGCTAATTTTTTGTATTTTTAGTAGAGACAGGGTTTCACTGTGTTAGATGGATGGTCTCGATCTCCTGACCTTGTGATATGCCTGCCTCGGCCTCCCAAAGTGCTGGGATTACAGGTGTGAGCCATCGCGCCCAGCCCCAACACTTTAATTTGTATTTATACCAACTTAACTACAATTACATACAACAACTCAGCTCATTTAAAGCTATGTTGCCACTCCTTTCAGTTATTGCTATCACAAAATTACATCTCTGTTATTCTGTTTATAAAAAACATAAAGTAATATTGTTTTTAAATGCATTGATATTTTAAATGCAAGAAATTATAGAGTTTGAAATGACAGGACACTAGATAGAACTTGAAGCTACATGAAGAATTAAAGATATTAGTAAAAGTAATATCTTTTACAAATTTTACAAATTTTACAAATACATAGATAGGTATTTGTAAAATTGAGTTGGTATTATTGTAAGAATGGTACATAACTTTATGTTTTCTACATGACTCAAGATACTACATGACTCAAGATTTCTTGCAAGGAAGGTCTAGTGGAAACAAAATAGACCCTCAGCTTTGTCTGGGAATATCTTATTTTTTTGTATGTATTTTTAAAAGAGTTTTGGTGGTTACAAGATTCTTGGTTGACAATTTTTTTGTTTCTGTTTTTCCTTTTAACACTTTGAATATTTTAGCCCACTCCCTTCTGGCCTCCGAAGTTTTTGATGAGGAATCTGATGTCAGTCTTACTTAGAATCTCTTGTATGTGACAAGTCATTTCTCTCTTGTTCTTTTACAATTCTTTCTTTGGCTTTTGACTGTTTGATTATAATGTGTCTCAGTGTGACTATTTTTTAGGACATCCTACTTGGGTTTTGTTGAGCCTCCTCTTGGATTTTATATTCATATCATTAATCAAATTTGAGAAGTTTTCAACTGTATTTTCTTTAAATATTCCCTCTGTCTCTTTCTTTCTTCTCCTTCTGAGATTTCCATTGTGTATGTTGGTCTACTTGATGATGTCCCGGAGATCCCTCAGGTTCTGTTTGCTCTTTTCTGTTTCTCATAAAGATAATTTCAATTGTTCTATCTTCAATTAATTGATGTTTTTCTTCTGCCTGTTTACAACTCTCTTTGAATACCTCTAAGGATTTTTTTATTTTGGCAATTATAATTTTCAGCTCTAAATTTCTTTTTTATTTCATTGTTGCTTTTCTTTTTATTGATCTTTCATTTTGTTCATTCATCATTTTATTGACTTTCTTCACATCATTTTTTTAGCTCTTTGAGCATCTTTAAGATAACTGTTTTAAAGTCTTTGTCTATATTTGCCATCTGGCCTTTCTCAGGGACAGTTATGTTAGCTTACTTTTTTCCTTTAAAAGGACCATATTTCCCTATCTCTTTTTATTCATTGTGATTTTGTTGTTATTGAAAACTTGACATGTGAATGTAATAATGTGGCAGCTATGGAAGTCACATTCTTCTTTTTTATCAGGGTTTGCTGTTTTACGCTTTTGTTTTGATTTAATTTTTGTAGGCTGTCTTCATGCTGAGGGTCAGGCTGAGTTGTGAACTTAGTTCTTATTTTTTTTTCTGAGCCTGCATCTTTCCCTGGTCACACACAGTGAGTTTCTAATTTCTCCAATGCATGTTGTTGCTTTTGAATATTGTGGTATTTAATGTAGAGCTTCACAAAAGGAGAAAAAGAGAAAAATAAAGCGGGGAAGGGTACTAGCCATTTAAATGCCCTGAAATCCACTTCCATTGGATGGGTAGTGGCTTGCAATAATGTGGGTATGCAACAGTGTCTACTCTCTTTTGTTTCTGTACTTCCATGATTATAAATGCCATCATTTATCAGACTACAGATCCAGATATTGGAGGACAGGGTGTTTATTACCCACCCTGGTTTCTGCAATCTTCATGCAAGCTGCATCAGGAATATGTGCCTGCCTTTGGACTGGGGTAAGGAATGGGTAGCTGCTGCTGAGCTGAAAGCTGAAATTGACTGAAAGTACTGCAATTTACCAACCAAGCCTTCCTCTCAAAGTGGCAAGCTTCCAACTGACTAAAAAGTTTATCGAAATAGTCACATCGAATTCTTCCAGTACGACTGTTGTTTTAGAGGGGAGATGGATTCCAAGTGCTCTCTACTCTGTCATCTTCCCAGACTCCACATTTTTTTAACTCAGCTTTTAAGCATATTAAATGGAGATAATGACATATACTTTGTCTTCACAGGATTAATATAAGGATGAAATGAAGTAATGTGTATAGAACATACAAGATATATAATGAAGAGTGATATATCCATATGATATTACTGGTAGTATGTTCAGTGTAGTAGATAGGATCATTTACATGTATTCACTACCCTATTGACATTAGGCTTGACTATGTTCCTTGCTTGAACCAATAAATTATGAATGAAAGAGGCAAGAGGCTGTCAATCTTGTTAGAAACTTTAAGAGCCCATATGTGTTTCTATGTTCTGTTTCTTTATGCCATCATGACCATTAATGCTTAAAAGCTGGGCTGAATGCTTCGGTCTCATAGTGAAGTAGAGTCATGGCCAATCTGTTACAGACTTGTCACATGTGCCAGAAACCAGCCTTTGTTACCGTAAGTCAAGAAGATTTGGGAGCTTATGTTATCACAAAATGGCCTAGTCTATCCTAACTGACACATGTTCTCTTTGCTTTGACTATTTCTTATGCTGTCTGACACAGAGTTTTTGTCATTCTACCTCTGCCACACAAGAGGTTTTTTTTTTTTTATCTTAACTGGATTCCAAAGGTTTCAATTACAATGTGGAGTTAAGAATACCTTATTTGGCTTACTTAAGAGCATGTTGGCTGATGAGCACATTGAATCCATGAAATATCCCCAGTTAGAATGAACCTGATTCTTTGTAAATAAGAAATTCTGGATATTTCCTTGTAGCTGAATAGGAGACAAAATAAGTAAATCCAATTTATGAACATTCAGACTAGTATAGGAAATCTGTCAATGTGTGATAGAATTCAACAGAATTAGGCTTTGAAATTAAATCTTTCTTTTTAATAAACTAAAGAATGTTGGAAGCTAAAATTGAGTTTTTAGGTGATAAGAATAATTACTCTTTGCAGACAGAAAAATGAGTTTGTTGAAACAAGTATATTCTTTAGAAAAATTTGGTAGAAGAGATGTTAATAATAAAAGAAAAATACTGATGAATAACATTAATTGAGCATTTAGAATATGTCTAGATTTGCCTTTCATTATATAATTGAATTGTCTCTGCAAACATTGAGTTAAATAGTTTTAAAATTTAATTTTATAAATTAATCCAAGCTTAGAAAAGTTATGGAAGTTGCCTTAGTTTCCATAGCTAGCAAATAGAAGATTGAGAATATGTGCGCATGGCTATCTAACTTCAAAGGCAAGCTCTCCTTTATTTACTTGTTATATTTACTGTCTCTCTAATGTAGAACAGTAAATTAGTCTGAATATTAGTACATTTTATAGGGAGGATCTGAGAGGCTGGATTAGTTTATGAAAGCTTGCCTTGAGAAAAGCTTATTAGAGTTAATCTAAACCTTGCATTTTTTTTAAAGGTCTTTGTCTGCTGCATACATGTTTAAAAAGTTACTTCATCTAGTGGGACAAAAAGGAAGTCCATCATTAAATGCTGTATTTCATGTGACGTCTTACATAATTCACATGTATTATATAATAACATCACTTTAGAAAAAAGATATAGCTATAAAATATAGATATATAGATAAAACCTGCCCTAATAACTTATTCCTCCCTGCCAAATACACTCTTTGCATAGATGAAAGAATGTCATATAATCCCTTTTCAATTTTGCTACATTCCATTTCAAAATATTTTGGTATCTAAAGTATGTTATCCCAAGTCACTCAAATGAAAATATTAGCTTACACTTTAATTTCTGTATGTTTTGTTCTCTGCTCTAACTTTGATACTTTGAATACTGTCTCACATATAGTAGTGTCTGGCATAAATATTTGTTGAGTGAATGAATACATGAATGAGCTATGACAGTCAATTCAGCTTGCAGTGCTACCTCAAACACATGATTCATAGCCCATTTACATATGCTGACAGCATCCTTAGCCTTATCATAGTTAGGTCAATTTGCTTTGTTTATCCAAGGAAATGGGTCCATGCTAACTAATGAAAATTGGATATACATAGGTCTTTAGGATTTTGTTTTAATTTGGAGGGTGACCATATATACTCACAATTTAAGTGGAATGTTTAAAAATGTAAATAAGTGATAACACTTGTATCAATAAGAAAAATAAAAGGGGGTCCGGGGGGGGTAAAATATATAAATGAGATTACTAGAAAGCAAAAAGTCTATGAATGCATGTTGATAGATGAAAGAGAACTGAAAGCATGCATGAAGATGTTTCATGACAGGTTATCTTCCCATGGAACTTTATACATAATGCGGATTTGGAGTCAGCTCTTTTCAAGGGTATAAGTATAGAAATGTGGCTTAAAACAGAAGTAGCTGAAGATTTGTCTCTAGAGTAGCTGTGCTAGTAACTCATTATTCCAATACCCCTTTCTGCATGCATACTGGAATTTACCTTACAATAAAACATTCTATTAAATATGAAAATAATGCCTTGGGGGAAACTAAAAGATGGTGGATGTTGACATCACAAAGTAAAGTACTCTGTATGTTGTTCCTGAGATGATAGGCGACATCCTTCCAGCTGGCTTCCTATCCCCAGTACAGTAGGCCTCATTTCCAAGGAGCTCATCTCATGTGGATAGGGGAGTCACTTAGCCATTTCATTTAGAAGAAAGGCCTTCCAAGAAAGGGAACTACCTAGATAGACCACAACAAAGAAATCATAAACAACACTTCCTAGGTAAACTTACCTTTTTGAAGATAAAAGCAATTTAATAAACACAGGCAAAAAAAAAAAAAAAGGAAAAAGAAAAAGAAAACCTCAGCAGACTAAAAAAATAATTAAAGCAAACTGTTCTGGAGAACACAAAATTTAAAGCACAGGAGAAATTAAACAAAACCAAACAAAACTCTAATTTTTAGCCCTGGAGAAATTAAAGAAAGTGGTACAACCATAAAAAAATTAGTAAGCTATGAAAAAATATATATCATATAAAATAGTTAAGAAAAATAAAAAAAGATTTCCATTTAAAAAAAATTAAGCGATGGATTGAAAGCCAAAGTCTAAAAAATTTCACAGAACACAGAACAAAGTAACAAATAATTAATCCTCAGTACCTTAAAATTATAACAATAGCATTTCCAGAAAAAAGAAAAGAGGCCAGGCCTGGCAGGTCATGCCTATAATCCCAGCACTTTGGGAGGCCAAGGTGGGCGGATCATGAGGTCAGGAGTTTGAGACCATCCTGGCTAACACAGTGAAACCCTGTCTCTACTAAAAATACAAAAATCAGCCAGGCGTGGTGGTGGACACCTGTAGTCCCAGCTACCCAGGAGGCTGAGGCAGGAGAATGCATGAACCTGGGAGGAGGAGCTTGCACTGAGCCAAATCATGTCACTGCACTCCAGCCTGGGTGACAGAGCGAGACTCCGTCTCAAAAAAAAAAGAAAAAGAAGAAAAGAACAAAGAAACAAACAAAATAGGAGGTAAGAAAAGGCAGAAACATTATGAATAATATTTATAAAACCTAAAGAAGTTATGGATTTTTACATGCAGTCAATCTAAAAATCTTATCTATACCCATTATAAGATTTTCAAATAATGAAGATTAACGAACAAAAACAATACTCATAAAGGAAAAATTACATTAAAAAAGGATAGAATTCCTCACCTACGATAATTAGAATGCAATGAGAGTTGTCTTCAAAATTTTACATTAACTTTTATTTTTTTATTTTGTAAAAAATGCAATTTTTATGGGTACATTATAAGTGTATATACTTATGGGGTACATGTGAGGTCTTCAGTACTTTAAGGAAACAATATTAAACCTAAATTTGTCAATAAAGTATAAAGATAAAATTAAGGATAAATAAGGAATCAGAAAATTAATCACCCATATATGTTTTCTGAGGAAGAAATTTGAGAAAGTGCTCCAGAAAGCTCGTGAAGTAGGAAGAAAAGAAAATCTAATTTCAGGAATTAATAGCCCTGCTTCAGAAGTGGAATAAACAGAACTCAAAGAATTACAACTATGCAGCTGCCAGGAGAATAAATAATCCCTAGTTGATCAAGAGAAGAGAAAGAAAGAGGGAGTTCTTTGCCAAATGACTGTGATTGAAGAGAATAACTTTGAAAATATGATGAAAACCATCCCGCATTTTGTCAACAAGAAGAAATAAAGACCACTAGAAAGAGATGAAAAAATGCACAGAAAAGTAATGATGTCAATGTATATCAAAACAAATAGGGCATGAATTTGAGCTAGTAGAATGTAGAAAAGATAATCTATTTGCTTTTAAGCCAAGGAATCTTTTCTTTCCATTGTTGTTGGGTTCATGACATTAGACTCTGAGAAAAGGAAACATAATCCTAGGAACCTTTCAGTTCTAATGATTAATATTTATGTAGTCATATTAATGCAGCTTTTGTTTGTTGATTTTTAAGTGTTAGAATCAGTCAATCAAAGGAAAGTATACATAGTCATGCTTATGAAAGAAAATGTGTGCATCATTCTTGAAAACATAAAAAGAGAGGTTTATTTACAAATTAAGAGATCAAAGTGTGGAGGAGCAGTTACTGAAAAGTATAGAGAGACTGTTATCTTAAATAAATATATCATAGTTTTTAGAAAATAAATGTAATCATTAATCTATTATTTCGGTTTATCAATGTTAGCAATGGAGGAACTGAAAATAGCAGTATCTCTCAGAAATTGAGGGAAAAAGTAAGTAAAATGAAGTATAATGAGCCAAATCTTCATATTTTAGAACAAGAGTTAATTGTTGAAAGAGAAAAATAGCATATTAGTGTTGAAAACTCACAATGAGAAATAAAAATATGCATACTTGCAAACATTTGCTTCTGAACTTGAGGTGGCCGGTGTGGAAGGGTGGGCTGAAAACTGGCATTTCTCATTTTGAAACCTACAACCATTGATTGCTTGAATTTTCATGGGAATGTACTTTTTTGTTTAAAAATATTATTTACATAAAGACAATATTTTGCAATGGAACAGCTTAAGTGCATGGAGTTTGAATTTCCCAATTTGAAAACAGAAAAAGGACATAACAAGATGTTCATGAGATATTCCTTGGAAAAATAAAAGAGCTCTTACTTAGACATGTTCATAAAAAACTCATCTGTAATGAAATTATTACTGGCTGGATGACAATTGACAGAATGACACCACTCCATTTGTTTGGACAGGACCAGTAATAAAACCAGTAAACCAAGATGATGAAAATTGTGTCTATGTCAGTGGCTTCTCATAGGCATAAAACTGAACTAAAAATGGTTGTAACACTCAGGTTAATACTCTAGAGTGTTTAAAAACAGAAGCCCTCACATTTTCAGCTTTCTGGACATGTCAGTAACCTACTGACATTAATGCTGCCTTATAATTTTAAGAAATAAGTATCTTTAGACAGAATCTGACCCTATGCCTGACCAATCTAAACATTTGCCTTTTTAAACAGTACATTATACTGGTCCCCAGAGGACATGATTTCAAAGATGTATGACTTTTGAGGACTAGATTTGTGACTCTGGAAAAGACTTGACCCTGGTTTTCTGTTAAACCATGATTTTATACATTCATTTTGGTTCTAAAATTGTAGATGTTGTTAGGCAAGCATACATTGTAGTTGTTTTAGTGAGAATCATTCTTAAAGGCATAGAGTTTAGTTTTTAATATAGGTTATAGGGATGAGTTTTAGACTCTGACTATATTGTAGTTTAGATTATACTATATGTTAGGTTACTTTAGTGTAGGTTATCGGGATGGATTTAGACTCTGAGTACCTTGTCAGTTCACAGAGGGCAAGCAAGTTTGCTTTGATTTAGCTCTAGTTCTTCTTATCTTTTACTAAATTGTTCTGTATAGTCAATGCCTCAGTCAATGCTGTTGTTTAACTAGTGTACATAGAGAAACTATCAGAGCTTCAGTAACCCCAGTGATAATTGTGTTGTACATTTCTTTTGACATTATACAGTTAAAATAGCCTCCAAAAGTAATGTTTTATACTTTCCTTCATATTTTAAGGACATAGAAATTATGATAAGGTCTGGTTGAATGACAGTATGAAATGGCTATGGTGATCTGTATAGTTAAACTGGAGAGGCTGGATATCTTGATACGCTTTCAGTGTTAGCTACAATTGGAGGAGTATACTGACTAAATAATAGCTCCATTGAAAAAGACTATATCAACAATCAAAATATGCAGATGAAACGCTGCTAAACATTTTGCTCCTTTGACCCAACCCCATACCTTTTTGTTGCTAAATAGCAATCCTTCCTGATTCCTCCAGCTTTGCTAATAATTTATAACCTCAATGGCCCCCATCATTCCTTGTAACTAAGCATCTACACCTCACACAAGCCATAAAAATGTGAAAAAAGTGAATATTTTTTGTTTTGCCTTTTTTCTTAATTTTATCTTAAAAAGAAATAAAAATTGAAATGGATGCCGAACCGCCAAATGTTTACTTTAAGAAAACGCTGTCTAATTATTACATGGAAGGCTAGCTTCTGAACAAACACTATTACTTCCTTCAAAAAAAATATGTATTGTGAACCAACAACACAGAAGTAGTCTTCAGGTTAGAGCAGCAAGGGAATTAGATTGCTCTGAGATGGCTGTCAAGATGTGCAGTGGTATTTGTACTTGTCATAAAGGTGATTATCCTGCATCTAAACTCTAGGAAGGTTAGACCTCAGATTCTGTCTTTGAGATTAAGAAATTTTACACTGACAGCAGACATGCTGGGATTAAAGAAACTCAAATGTATAAGCCTGTAGAAAATTGAGTTATGAAGATAAGTTAGAGGAAAAAGCAATAAAATTACAGTTCAGAGATTCAGCTGGAATAAGTGGAAACTAAAGGGATATAGGAAAGTAGCTTAACATGTAGGAAAATGCAGTTTTTGATAGACCTAGGCAGTCCCTGACTTACAATGGTTCAACTTGTGATTTTTCAATGTTATAGTGGTGTGAAACCATTCTGTTTTTCACTTTCAGCATAGTATTCAATAAAGTACAAGAAATATTCAACACTTTATTATAAAATAGGCTTTGCGTTTGATGATTTTGCCAAGCTGTGGGCTAATGGAAGTGTTCTGAGCATGTTTAGGATAGGCTAGTGCTAGGCAACAGTATGCTGTGCAATAAGTTAAGTCTATTAAATGCATTTTTGAATTACTATATTTTCAACTCATGATAAGTTTATTGTAATATAACTCCATCATAAGTTGAGGAGCATCTGTACTATAAACAACTAGATGTCTCTAAGACTTACCGATGTTGAATAATGAAATGTAATTTTTAATATTAGAAGGGGGACTTTGAAATTCAAGAATACTTTGCAACTAGAGTTAAAATATACCATATAAAAATGGAATATCAGGTGGGGCACGGTGGCTCACTCCTGTAATCCCAGCACTTTGGGAGGCCAAGGCGGGTGGATCACGAAGTCAAGAGACCAAGAGCATCCTGGCCAACCTGGTGAAACTCGTCTCTACTAAAAATACAAAAATTAGTTGGGCGTGGTGGCACATGCCTGTAATCCCAGCTACTTGGGAGGCTGAGGAAGGAGAATTGCTTGAACCCGGGAGGCGGAGGTTGCAGTGAGCTGAGATTGCACCACTGCACTCCAGCCTGGCAACAGAGCGAGACAAAAAAGAAAGAGAGAGAAAGAGAGAAAGACAGGAAAGAAAGAAAGAGAGAAAGAGAGAAACAGAAAGAGAGAAAGAGGGAGAGAGGGAGAGAGGGAGGGAGGGAAAATGGAATATCAGAATCGAAGAAAATTTTTAAACAGGCCAAGAGAGGCAGATATGGGTATTTATAAGACGTAAGTTGTGAAGGCTGTTATGTGAAACATTGTGTTTAAAACAATAAAGTTTTAAAATTGGAACACATGAACTTTTGAGAGTACACTCAAAAAACCTAAATATATTACAATGAGCTAGAGGAAGACTATAAAGTACTTCCAAAAACCCTATAACTTCCACAGTATTGTAGAGACTATTTATAGAATGTTTGAAAGTCTAAGAAAGGACTGTTTTTCAGTTCAGACCTAGATCAAACAGCATTCAGTTGTTCTAATAAACCAGAGTATCACAGGGACCATTGTGAAAAATGAAAGTGCCAGGGCCTCACTTCTAATGATCGCACATCTAAGATGAGGTCTGAAAACCTATTCGCAAAAGAATGTATTTATAAAGATGTTTCTACAATAATTCTGATTCATGGCCAGGCTTGGGAAACACTTCTTAGAAAACTCATGAAGTACAGGAAAATCTTTGTCTAGTCATGTTAGATGGCAAATGGCAGGGAGAGAATGGGGAGATGACTAGATAAAGCTAATACTATGGGAGCAGAGTGACCTTGTGTCAGATAATCTGTCACTGATCATGAAGACTTAAAAGTGTAACACAAGAAAAAAAAAAACCTTGGCTACACATTCTTGTCTGGCATAATTAGGTCACTGCAGTGCTCATCTGGGGAATTTATCTGTAGTTAACTGGCAAATAGTTTGTATTTTGGCAATTCTGACTTAAACTATAGCAGTTAGCTTTGAGTATTTCCATATAATATATGACCAAGGCACTGACATCTAGTTCTCTGACTTGATGTCATTAAAATACAAATACCAGATTTTCAAATATTCTTATGGACCAATGATAAGTTTTACAATATTATTAGATAATAACACATTTTGTAGCTTTTTTTGTTTGAATACCTTCACTCAAAATTTGTTAGAAACCAATTTTTTTAAAAAGAAATTGCTAAATTGATTAAGCTGCAAGTAGCTTCTCACATTTGAGCTAAAAATAATTTTAAGGAAAGAATATAAAGTAGATAAATAAAATTTTTTAAAAATCTGCTGAGGAAAACTTTCAAATTATAAACTCTAATTGGGTAGAAGTAGATTCAGAGATTCAGCTAGAATAAGTAGAAACTAAAAGGATATAGGAAAGTAGCTTAATATGTAGGAAAAGGCAGTTTTTGATAGATATAGGTAGTCCCTGACTTACAATGGTTCAACTTATGATTTTTCAATGTTATAGTGGTGTGAAACCATTCTGGTTTTGTAAAAGCTGTGTTAGGCTGAATAATGACTCCCCAAAACATCCTTACTAATCATTGGAACCTGTAAATGTTACTCTATATGGCAAATAGAGACACGACAAGTGTGATTAAATTAAGAATGTTGAGATAGGATGATCATTCTGGATTAGCTGGGTGAATTCTAATGGTAATCACAAGGGTCCTTATAAGAGTGAGGCAAATGATAATTTTACTATAAAGTGTAGAATGCAAGGTGAGGAACGATACATAGAAAAATTTGAAGATGCCACTTTATTGTCATTTTAAATATGGGATGGGCCATGAGCCGAGGAATGCCGCTTTAAAAGCTGGAAAAGGAAGGAAGTGCCTTCTCCCTTAAAGCCTCTAGAGGGAATTCAGCCCTGCTGACACTTTAGTTTCAGCTCAGGGAAATTCGGATCCAGAACTGTAAGAGGCTATAGTTGTGTTATTTTAAGCCATTAAATTTGTGGTAATTTATTATAGCAGCAATGGGAGACTAATACAAAATATTTGATTATAATTGACTCTGTGGAGTAAGGCCAAAATATCCCTAGCATCAAGAAATAGGCCTTTAAAAGGGCCACACTATCTGATCTATAATTTAGGAGCTTCTCTTCTTTACACTTTCCTTTTGTGATCTCAGCAGCTCAAAGTCTCAATAGTGTTTAAGTAGTGGAATTTGCTCTATAAATATATTCCACATAATGATTAAGTTCTGGAGATAGTGCATAAAAGGATTAGGTCAGAGTTAATGTTATCTTTAGCAATTAGCAATCAAATGCTCAGTATTTTTTGAGCATATGCTATGGGCCCAGTACAGGTATAGATAACCACAAAAGAAATAGAAAAATCATAAAATTTGATTTATAGGAATAATTAGTAGTAGTTTAGTTCATTTCCCAAGGTCACCAGATCATGCAAACATACTGCAATCTCAATATCTTCAATGACAGAAAACTCACTACTTCACAACCTGTTTATTTTTAGTGAACTCTAATGAAAAATAAAAACAAAAAACCTTTGTTTTCATAAACCCATGTTTTGCTTTTTACAATTGCTATAGTTTATTCCTGCTGTTGTTCTTTGAACTCTGCAGAAGTCTGATCTCTTCTGGGTTTGAAGCTTTAGGTATCCAAGAAGGTTTATGTTTGCATCTTCCCTAGAGTACAAATTTCAAATTTTTTAGCCTTTCCTTTTATAACATCTTTTCCAGATGTATTACTATTTCTACAACTAGAAAACCAGTAGTGATAAGGGAGAAGGGCTTTAGCTCTTGCACTTGTGCCTTTCTCTTCTATTCTCCCAAAAGAAGTCAGACCACAATCTCAAAGATATGTATTCCACAATAAGAAGCAATCAGTATTGGAAAAACATGTATAAAGGCGAAATCCCTAGTTAACTGCTTTGTTAGAGTAAAGCCCTATATATATTTTGTGCTATATAATAGCACAAAAATCCAAATTTCTTACCATGGCAAAGTCTTTAAACATTTCTACCCTTTTATTTTATTAATTGTATTTCCTGACACTTCCTGATAAGCACTGTTTCAGCCCTATTACTAAATTAACTAGTCTTCCAATTAGTTCATACTCCCTTGCAACAATATATCTGGGATCATTTTTTTTCCTGTGATTGCATTTTTTTGTATTTAATAAATTTTCTTTCAAGACTCATTCAAGTGTCAACTGCCCAGTGAAGCCTTCTCTGATCTTTCTAGAAGAAGAAAAGGCCTCACCTCTTCTCTCTTAGGCCATGGGTATATCTCTGGTAAAACACATGACTTTGTGCACACATTTGAGTACCCCTTTAAACTTTGAACTTTTTAAAGGCAAAACCCATGCCTTCCTTTTTTCTCTAGATACACTTAGTGCCTGGCACACAGCGGAGGTTCAGCAAAGAACTGTTTAATGAATGGACTCCAATCACTGACTCCGAATATTATAATTGAAGTTACAGTTCCTTGGGTGATCATTTCTATCTACTTTGATTATAGAAATGAGTATAACTGAAGATAAGTTATCTTTTCTTCAGAATCAGATTCACTTCATTTGCCTTATAAAGACAAATGTGCCAGATCCAAGTTACTTGGACTATCTTGGACTAATGGGCACAGGCTTTGTCTCCTCTGACCCACAAGGCCAGGTTTCTTTATTTTAATTTATTGCTACCTTGGCACCCACAGCTTCTAGTTTCTTCCTTATTCCTTCTGTGATCTTCTGACCTCAGTCCCTTGACTCATTTCTGACTCCTCTTTCCATGGTCCAGAGATGCCCGATGCTGGAATTTCTCTCTCCTATGCTAACTCTAGCCTAATTAACTCACTGTCCTCATGCTGCCATACCCTAACATGATGTGTTTTGCTAAATTTTTCATATGCCGTTAAACTGCTCAGCTTTTTTCATTCATTGAGACAACATTTAATGCATAGTGCTCATTGCCACACATAGGAGCAGCAGCATATATTTTAAATGTATGAAATAAGCAAAGGTAAGGTAATCTAGAAATAGGTAATCAAGGCAGAAGAGTGGTTCCAGAAGCATGTGATAGTCTAAAAGGTTAGAAAAAGGGTGCCAGTTACCTACAGAATGGGATAAAATTTTTGCAATCTATCCATCTGACAAAGGGCTAATATCCAGAATCTACAAATAACTTAAATTTACAGTAAAAAATCAAACAACCCCATCAAAAAGTGGGTGAAGGATATGAACAGACACTTCTCAAAAGAAGACATTTATGCAGCCAACAGACACATGAGAAAATGCTCATCATCACTGGCCATCAGAGAAATGCAAATCAAAACCACAATGAGATATCATCTCACACCGGTTAGAATGGCGATTATTAGAAAGTCAGGAAACAACAGGTGCTGTCGAGGCTGTGGAGAAATAGGAACACTTTTACACTGTTGGTGGGACTGTAAACTAGTTCAACCATTGTGGAAGACAGTGTGGCGATTCCTCAAGGATCTAGAACTAGAAATACCATTTGACCCAGCCATCCCATTACCGGGTATATACCCAAAGGATTATAAATCATGCTGCTATAAAGACACATGCACACATATGTTTATCGCGGCACTATTCACAATAGCAAAGACCTGGAACCAACCCAAATGTCCATCCATGATAGACTGGATTAAGAAAATGTGGCACCTATACACCATGGAATACTATGCAGCCATAAAAAAGGATGAGTTCATGTCCTTTGTAGGGACGTGGATGAAGCTGGAAACCATCATTCTGAGCAAACTATCGCAAGGACAGAAAACCAAACACTGCACGTTCTCACTCATAGGTGGGAATTGAACAATGAGAACACTTGAACACAGGGTGGGGAACATCACACACCGGGGCCTGTTGTGGGGTGGGGGAAGGGGGGAGGGGGGAGGGATAGCATTAGGAGAAATACCTAATGTAAATGATGAGTTAATGGGTGCAGCCCACCAACATGGCACATGTATACATATGTAACAAACCTGCACATTGTGCACATGTACCCTAGAACTTAAAGTATAACAAAACAAAAGAAAAAAGAAAAAGAGTGTCAGTTGAAGCCAGCTAAGAAGGCCAGACTGAGAATATTCAAGAACTACTAAAGTGAGATCCACCTGCATATCAAAAGCCAGTAAGACAGAAGGCACAAGATCCAGAAAATCACAAATGCTGGGAGGCCTAAAGCAGTCAGTTCAGGGCTTGCAGGTATTTGGCTATACTTGACAAAGGTGGAGAATCCATTGCGTAAGTCTTTTATACGCCATAGCTTATGCACCAAGTAGCATCAGCGTTGCTTGGGAGCTTATTAAAAATGCAGACACATGGGGTTTACCCCGAAACTGCATCACAACTTGTATTTTAACAAGATCCGTATGTGATTTCTATGGACTAAGATACTTCTGACAGGCAAATTCTGATAAGTGAAGCTTTCTAGATATTTGAGTGTCACATTATGAAGATGTTATAAGGCTTATAAAGGCCATTTTGTTCTGCAGTCCTTCTCCTGCAGAAGTCCACTTCTGAAATCATGGGGGGAGGAGGGGAAGGAAGTCAAAACTATTTGCTGATTACTTATTCTATGCCAGATATTGAATTATGCTATGGGCTGATAATACAATAATTAGCCAGAGAATACAATTTCCTGTTCCCATGACCACTATGGCCAAGTGGGAAAAGACACTAAATAAGTAATTACAATGCATTGTGAGCAAAGTAATGATGAGGGAAGAACAGAATGCTTCAGGAGCACATAGCAGGGGCACCTATATTAGTGCTCTCCACTGTCAGAATGCCGTGGTCAGCTATGCCAGGGCACTTGTATCTCCATAGCATTTTCAAATCCTTGGCTCACTTATGATTTCTCTGAGACTATCTTAATGATTCCCATTCCTGAGTCCCCCAGATCTCTCTTTTTCTTCATTCTGAATATAAAACTGCATTGTTAGGCAAAGAAGTATTATGTTACTGCTTTCTGTGCTACTTAGAAATTCTTTTATTTCATGTCTACTCTTCATTGTATTACCTGTCTGCCGCAAAGCTGTTTTATTTAGTCAAACTCAAATCTTTTCATCTTTAGAAGATGACTTGCCTCCTATTTTACTGAGTAGATTGAGGCTACCTGGCAAAAACTCCTTTATAGTTCAACTTTCTTAGCATCTGCCTTTTTATCATTTAGTTGCCGCTAAATAGTCCTTTATCTTGACCTATCTACTTCTACTTTCTTCCTATTCTACAGGCAAGCCCTGTCCTTCCTTTTCAGGGCCGGCCTCTCCACCTGTGCCTCCTCCAGAGCTCCTTCAGTGTTCTCTCTCCCTGTTTGGTAGTATCAGTTGATCTTTATATATTAGCTTCTTTCCAGGCATTTTGCCACACACAGATGAGCCCCAATCACAAATACATTGACCAGATCCATAGTCTCCCTTTATCTTTTATTCCACAGCTTCCTTACTCTCATCATCAAACCTGTGGTCAGTTGAAAATTTCCCATATATACTTTGGAATGCATCTGAAATTTAAGATAGAGCTCACCCACTTTATCTGTTCTATTTCTTTACCACTGATATTTATTTCCTTTGTCTTATGTTCAGATTACTATCACCAGTAGTAGTAGTAACATTGCTGTTAATTCCTCTTTCTCTTCTGTTTTTGTGTCTAGGCAATCACAGAGTAACTTTGAACAATCAAATCCTGCTTCTACCAGGTATAAATTATGTGAGATAGGCAAGATACTTAGTCATTCCACCTTAGATTCCACCCATGTAAGATTAGGGAACCATTAATAATGATACTTACCTCATTGGATTGGTATAAAGATTGCATAAATTCATCTTTTTGTAGAGCTCAGCAGAGTAACTCACACAAAGTACCCACTCAAAAATGTGAGCTATTATTTTTTATAGCCATCCTTTATCCCCTGTGTTCTAGATCCTATACCTGTCAAAGACGTCTAGATAAATCAAGTCACTAATCCTGTGCCCACATGTGATTTACGATTAATTATACAGTCAGACCTGTGATCAAGTAGACCATAGGCATACTAGGGTCATGGTATTTTTTCTCTCTGAGACTGATTTATTGCATATAAAATACGGTTATTGTCATATTTAATAGGGTTGTTGTATTAAATAATATATTGTATGTTAAGCAGTGAGCAAAGTATATGGTAGATACTCAAATGTGCTAGGTGCTGTTCTCATCATCGCCATCATCCTCAGCATTCCTATTCTGTAATCCTCTGAAATCTGGCTCCTTGTACCATTTCACTTTATATATATATATATATATACACACACACATACACACATATATATGTATATGTATGTGTGTGTATATATATATATATATATATATATATATATATATATATGTATATATTTTGTAAAGGACCAACCACAAACCAGATTAAGTGGCCCATTTGTCATCATAATTAGTAACCTACATCAAGAAAATCATTTATGCAGGGTCTCAACTTCCACTTTATTTTTCCTTCTGTTCTGACTCATATTTCTCCTTTCGTTTCTTATATAATAATTTCCTACAATTACTGAACATTTTTTTCACCTTAATATCACGCATTTCTAAAGCTTTAATATTTTGTATACATTATTCATATCTTTAGTCTTGGTCCTTATCCTAAAGACTGCAAATGTTTCCAAATACAAAGTGGAATTTTCCTTATGCACATCTGATAGCACTTTACACTAAAAACACATTACTAAAACACAGCCTTTCTTAGATTGGTTTTTTTTTTCACTTTTTCAAAACTAATTTCAAATCTTAACCACTGTTCAACGTAATTCAATCATTTTCCAATACTATTGACTATTCCCTTAAACTATCTCTCACATCTATCCATTTTTCCCCAGTATAATGAAAATAGCTAATAGAGAATTCCTACCAGTTGGGAGATAGATAAATGGAGGGAATGACATTACCGCTCCCTAGACCTCTCACAATGTATTAGTGAGGACTGAAATTACATTATTCAAGTGAGAACTGCTTGTAGTTGCAAAGAAGTGTATCGCAACAATCATTTAGTGTACATCACAGTAGATAAAACTATGGGTTTAAAATCAAATGCATGTGATTTTAAATCTTCGGTCCATCACCCATACTTCTTAAATCCGTGTTATTAAAGAAAAATTCTTAACTTTTCTGACTCTTATTTTCTCATCTGAAATGTTGGTATGTTACCAGTAACACTCATCTCACATGGATGTTATACATATTAAACAAAATAATAAAGGGTTTATTGCAGAACATGCTTTCAACAAATTGTGGCTATTATGATCACTATTATTTTATTGAATGTTTAACTGATTACACATAATGTTTTTACATTTGCCTTTATTTTCATTTTGACCCCTAACCCAATTAGAAGAACAGGACTTTGGCTGCCCAGTTTCTGTATCAGATATGGCAATCTCTTTCAATTTTTTTTTTCACCCGAATTTCCAACAATATCAGCTGAAATTCCATAATGATTATTCACAGATATGTGTTCTCATTTCCAGCATGTAAGAAGAATGTCACCTTCCTAAAGCAGCTGATGCACTCACACAATTCAATTATGAAAATCTTCTCTATAACTTTCACGAATAAGTAAGACTTTTTAAAAATGTAAATTGATAATTTATATAAAGTTATGGGGTAAAAAATTATGTTATATATTTATGAATACAATGTGGCATAATTAAATCAAGATAGTTAACATATCCATCACTCAAGTACCTAATATTTTTGTGATTAGACATTTGAAATTTACTCAAATAAGAATGAACTGGAAGTGAAAGCATAAATGTCATTTCTACTTCAACAGTTAAAGCCTAATAACACCTCTAAAAGTAGACAGTGTGTGACAGAGGGGCAAGTTTATTTTCCTGAAGGCAGACAGTTGATTAATACAAAATGCTGTTTGCAGGTCTAATGATTTTTCAATTCACAAAATCCCATGGTGCTATAAAAAGTTGATGTCCAGTACATGAGTAAGTCAGTTTTTCAAATTTTCAGAACTCCATAAAGAGAAATTTGGGTTCTAGAACGACCTGAGTTTACATATTGATATTTATTGTGTGCCATATACTGTCCATCAATGTTTTCAATGCAGCTTTTACACAGAGCAAAAAGGTATGTCACTTCAACTATTTATTTGCAAACTAGTTATGATCTTAAATTATCCTCTGGATTATGATAAATAGAAAATTAAAGCAACATATATAAAACTAAGACCAAAAATTAATTTATTTTAGTCTATCATTAATCATTGTAGTGGGTAGTGTAAATTATTGCTAATAGCTGGCCATCTTAAGTAAAGTGGAAAGAAATAGTTTTCAGAATAGCAATACTCTTTTACTTTTAAATATAATTTAGTAAATACAGAGCAAATAGGCAATACCTTGGGTGAATTTGATAATTCATATAATAGAATTTTATATTTTTATTATGGGAAAAATTTTATGAGTATAATTTGATGATTACAGCCATTCAAGTGAATGTGAATTGGAATCTCACCGTGATTGTAATTTGCATTTGCCTAATGAATAACAACACGGAGCAACTTTTCATGTGCTTAGTGGCCATTAGTATATCTTTTTTGGAGATATGTCCGTTCTAATCTTTTGCCCATTCTTAATTGAATTATTTGGCCTTTTAATTGAGTTAAAAGAATTATTTAAGTGTTCCAAATACAAGTCGTTTTTCATATATATGATTTTCAAAAATTTTCTCAAATGCTAGGGTTGTCCTTTTCACTTGCTTGAATGAATCGTTTGAAGTACAAAAGTTTTTAATTTAGATGAAGTTTAATTTATTTAATTTTCATTTTGCTTTTTGTGTTTTGAGTATCATATCTTAGATATTATTTACTAGTTCAATATTATAAGGTTTTATCCCATGTAAGAGCTTTAGTTTTATCACTTACACTTAGGTCTTTGATTCACTTGAGTTAATTTTTGCATTTAATAGGAGGTAGGTATTTAACATCATTATTTTGCATGCGGATATTCAGTTGTTCCAGCATCATTTGTTGAAAAGACTATTATTTCATCATTTAATTTTCAGAGAATGCTTGAAGATTATTCTAAATGTTTACCATTATGCCAGTACATAAAAATATAGTATGGAATACTATAATATAGTATTAATACTTTTAAATACAGTCTTGAATACTATAATAGCAGGTTATTAAATTGGATTTTGTGAGTCCTCCAACTTTGTTCTTATTGTCAAGATTGTTCCGACTATTCTAGATTCCCTTGTCTTCTACATAAATTTTAAGATCAGCTTAAGTATTTGTGCAACAAAAGACAATTGATACTTTAATAGAGTTTGTATTGAATTACTGAATCAGTTTTTAGGGTATTGTCATCTTAAAATTACTAATTCTTCCCATACATGAACATAGGATGTCATTCCATTTATATATGTTTTCTTCAATTGTTTTCAGTGAAAGTAGTAATATCCTCTGTATGTCTTGAAAACATTGTTAAATTTATTCCTAAGTATTTTATTATTTTTATGCTGTAGTAAGTTGTTTTCTTAATTTCATACTCAGTATGTTCACAGCTTGTGCATATGCACTTGAGAAGAATGTGTATTATCCTCTTGTTGGTAAGAATAATCTATGTGTCTATTAGTTGGTTAATGATGTTGCACAGTTTTCTGCTTCCTTATTTATCTTCTGTATAGTTGTTTTATCTATCAAGTGATATTAGAGTTTCCAACAATTATTGTTGAACTCTTTATTTCTCCCTTCTGTCCCATCAGCTTTTGCCAAATGTAATTTTTGACTTCGTTATTATGTGCATATATGTTTATAATTGTTTTATCTTCCTGAAGGATTAACCCATTCTCATTACAAAATGTCCTTCTCTTGTTTTTCCAAGATGGTGGATTGGAGGCTTTTTTAGGATAACTCTCCTATTAGGAAAGACAAAATAGTGTGTATAGATTCATAGTGTAAACTTTCATCCAAGGAGCAACCCAGGGACTCAAGAGAAAAATTGAAAGAAACCACAAACACTTTGAAAGAAACAATGGGCAGAAGCCTACATAATGAACCACGTGAAAAACTGTGTCTCCAGAGTGTGAAAGGGGAAGAGACTTTCTCTATGATTCACATTCCTACTGAGGAGCCAGGCAATGTAGGCCATGGGGCAAGGCCTTAACCCTACCCAGTGCTGGAGCTGATTTAGTGAGGTGTAGGAAGTATATGATAAGGAGCAGCAAAAGGATATACTCTGGATACACTCCCAGACCCCAGCAGGGAAGGAGGGAAGCCATTCTCAATCCTACCTCATAGAGGAACCTCATAGACATGTGCCAGGTAACTCAGGCAGTGGTCACAGGTTGAGAGAAACTCCCAACTAAGATTTGTGATATTATCTTGAGTGGGGCCAAACTTCCTTGGCCGGAACTTAGGGGCAAGTGGGAAGTGTGCTATAGCCAACTGTACCCTAAAGCTATTGAAATAAAATACATTAAAAGTTAAATAAAAATGAAATGCCTTTTTTGTCACTAGTATGAATTTATGTCTTAAATTCTATTTTGCCTAATAGTAGTATAGCCACTACGGCTCAGTTTTGACTATGTTGTGCATGGTATATCTTTTTAAATTTTTCTACTCTCAATCTATTTGTGTCTTTGATTTTAAAATGTGTCTCTTAAAGACAAAATATAATTTGTTTATCTTTTTTATATACAGTCTGCCAATTTCTGCCATTTGATTACAGAGTTAATCTATTTATATTCAATGTAATTACCATTAAGATAGAAATTACATCTGACATGTAGATATTCGTTTTCTATATGTTACATCATTTTGGTTTTGTTCTTCCAACATTAACACCTTGTTTTCTGTTAGATATTTTCTTGTAAATCATTTTAATTTGTTATTTATTTTACTATATGTTTTGTGTTAATTCTCAGTGGTTGCCTTGGAGATTATTATTAATAGCATCTTAACTGACAACATAGTTCAAATTAATATTAGCTTAATTTCCATAGAATACCAAAACTTTGCTCCTCTATAGTATTTTTCCTCCACTGTCCTTTCTACTATTATTGTCACACAAAGCACATCTTTTTATATCAAAACCAACATATATTAATTCCTTTATGCAGTTGTCTTTTAAATCAAATAGAAAAAAAGTACTGCCCAAAACCTAGATTTATACTCTATATTATATTTATCTATGTAATTACCATTCTGGCACTCAATATTTCTTCATATGGATTTGATCTATTGTGTCTTATCCTTTGCTTTCCACCTCATGGGCTCTCCTTAGTACTTTTTGTAATACAGGCCTGCTGGTGATGATTTCTCAGGATGTGTTCATTTGGCAATATATTTCTTCTTCATTTTAAAATAACTTTTTTTATGCTGGAAATAACATTTTTGTTAATAATCTTTTCTTTCACCCCTTTGAATATGTCATCTATGGCCTTCTGACTTTTTGGCTTCTAGTGAAAAATTCTTTGTCAATCACATTGAGAGTTCTTTGTATGTTTTGAGTTACTTCTCTCTTGCTATTTTCAAGATTCTTTCTTTATTTTCTAGAATTCAGTAGCCCCCCCGCAACCATCTGAATGGACATTCCTCTCAGCAAGGGAACTGTAAATTTAACCTGAAATAACTGGTTCAGGACACCATGGGAGGGTGGGGTCAGACAGGCCTCATTTTGAAACCAATCCAATTGTCCCACAGTTTTTTTTTTATTTTTATTTCTTATAATTTACAAATTGACCTTTCTGGTCTTAAAGCTTGAAAGTTATCTTTGTTTTATCTGACTTCCTTCCTTAGGAAATGACCTTCAGGCCTCTCAAAAAAAAGTATCAAAAAACTGAAACTCAATCCATCATGGCATCCAGACAATGAGATGTCAGACTCTTTATTCATCATGATTGTTTCCCTGCCCCTTCCTCATTCTTATTTCTTGTACATTGTTGCATTTCTTCTCCCATATAAACCCCTGGTTTTAGTGGGTCAGAGAACTGGATTTGAGCCTGAGCTCCTATGTCTTTGGTTGCAGCACCCTAATAAAGCCTTCTTCCTTGGCAATAATCATTGTCTCAGTAATTGACTGCCTGTGTAGCAAACAGCAGGACCTAGACCAAACCCCTGAAGTTTCAGTGACAGATTTTGGTTTCCTGACCAGGAAGACATTGCCTATGGCTCGGCTGCTTTGAGCTAGGATTCTCAGGAGCCCTCCAAAGCAGCTGGTCACCCAATTTTGGGTGGAGGTGAGTTTCAGTCGCTCTCTGACACTACCAAAACTGGCCCCAACTACATTCCTGATTGTCTTAGAACTGCCTTTGAAATTTGACATCTGACTCTGGATTAGGTGAGTGTCCTTTATGCGCCCAGACAGTAGGATATACTCCTTTCAATCTGGGAATTTAAAGGAATTTTCATTTGAAGGTTGAAAAAGCCCAGCTGATTGAGAGGGAAGTACCCTTACTGTTTCAGTATGGACACTCTTTGGAGCTTGTTTGTAATTGTGTGTATGTCTGGGCAAGTGAGTGTCTTTTTTGGATACCAGGCAGCAGGATCAACTCCTCTAAATTGGGAAGTCTTTTTTTGAGATTGATCAAGACCAACTGATGGAGAGAGGAAACATCATGACTGTTTCAGTTTGGACACTCCTGGGACTTGTTTGTTGCTGCAGCAGATGGATTGTGTTTTGTTTTGGTAATTGTGTGTGTTTGATATACTCATGTGAAATTAGAATTCAGTAAATTTGATATTTTGTAATACTGTTTGGCCCCAATATACTTTGGAACCTGGAGTTTGCTGTTGAATGAGAAAGTGGGATGGAGTTCCCTGTATCCAGGTTTTTATGTTGCTGTTCTAACCAGGGTTGGGCCTGGTTGGTAAGTTCCAGGTGGTGGTCTTCAGTGGTGCTGTTTGGCCCTAGTGCTCCTTGGAGTCTGGGGAAGTTTAGCCTTTAAAAATAAAACTGCCATGGAAATTTCTTTACCCAGAATTTTAGTTCACAGCCTTCACGTGATTACTTAACAGGACTAACAAAATTCAGCCATGTGAATATGTTTGCAGACTAGTGAGTTTGTATTGCTATCTCATGGCTAGAGCTGCAAGTTAAACCTATTGGATGTGTGTGTGTGTGTGTGTGTGTGTGTAGAAGAAGAAGGAGAAGAAGAAAATCTGGGACTGAAAATAAACACATTTAGATGTGTTTATTTGTGTGCATACTTATGTTATATGTTGTGTCTATGAAATTGGCTTATAAATAAGAGTGCTCATAAATGAAGTAAATAAATCCAAGCAATTTTGAAGTTCACATGAATTAAGTAAATTTAACTAAACAAGCTGGCTTTAAAATTATTAGTAAAATTAAAATGTCTTTAAAATTATTGGCAAAATAAAAAATAGAGGAGTCTTCAGAATTGTCAGTATACATTTTTGTCAAGGTTTTATATATTTTTCTGCTATATATTTTGAGATATGAGGGTCTGTAACAGAAGGTTATAAAACTATAAACCAGAAAGAACAAAATTGTATTTGTGTGAATTTTGGGGGAAGACTAATTTAATGTTATTGGTTTAATAAAAACAGCAAAATCTTCCGAGTTATTTGTTAAAATGTCCATGATGTTAACTTTAAGGATCTTATTTAGCTGAACACCTGATATTCGTAGATTAAAAAAAGGTTGGCCAGGCGCAGTGGCTCATGCCTGTAATACCAGAACTTTGGGAGGCTGAGGCAGGTGGATCACTTGAGGTCAGGAGTTCGAGACCAGCCTGCACAAAAGGCCAATATCCATCTCTACTAAAAATACAAAAATTAGCTGGGGGTCATGGTGCATGCCTGTAATCCAAGCTACTCGAGAAGCTAAGGCAGGAGAATCGCTTGAACCCGGGAGGCAGAGGATGGCAGTGAGTCAAGATCATGCCATTGCACTCCAGCCTAGGTGACAAAGTGAGACTCCATCTCAAAAAAAAAGGTTAATGAGAAAATAAATTATGCATAAATAATCTAGATAAACTGTAAAAATACGTAAAATGTAAATAGGTAAGTACAATACATTAGCTTTTTGTGTAACTTAAAGTCTTAAAGTTATTTTGATGCTCATTGGAAATCTGGGTCATTTCCAATTAAGAAAGGGTTCTAACTAAAAGTATAGAATTTTTATTATTTATAAAGTGCTAATATCTGATAGACAGTTCAGAGTTTCTTGCTTCTTAGGTTTTCACTAAAACCTAAGATAAGAGTTATAGTTAATAGATAATTTGTATATATTATGTGTTTAAAAAGATGTGTTATTAGTAAGAAAAAACTGTTGTCTAATTGAGAAGTTATCTAAAGTTAATTCAATTTATGGACTTGAAGAATTATTTATTAAACAAGCTAAAAGGGAACCAGGAAATAGAGGAGAGAAATGTGAAGAAAGTTATGAATATAAAGATGTAATTTTTTAGTAAAAAACAATTAAAAAGAAAGGAGAATAATTTTGTATGAGAAAGAATTTTGTATGTAATTTTTTTGTCTTGAGTAAAATGACTGGTTATTTACAGAAAACAAGAAGGAGTAGAAGAAAATCTGAGACTGAAAATAAAGCCCAGGTATGTTCACAGTGAGGCATGTCGTTGATGGTCTGTGTATGTCATATATAGTGTTTTTACCATTGTTCTGTGTGTCCATCTTCATGCACATACCGAATAAATAGAAAGTTGAAGAACTTTTAGATAATAAAATATTCTGTAAAACCTGATAGGAAATTGGAGAAATTTGACTAATTAACCTTGCTCATATTTAAAGCTTTTAGTCTTGATGAAGGCAAATTAACAAATATTATAATGAAATACATTGGCAATTCTTATATAGTTAAGTATGAAGCAAGATTTAACATACAGTCAAATTTCACATGAATGTTTGCATTCCTTTGTTTCACACTGTCTTTGCTCTTCTGCATAGACAGTACTAGCACTAAAGTACTTAATGGTCTTGTACTTAAGTGAACTTCTTAATTGCACAAAATGTAAAGTGGTATTGGACTTAGACATTAATTTGTGTACCAGGAACAAAATATGTATCATATGTTTTCTTTTTTTAGGCTCTCTGTAACACTTTAGGCTTCAAGGTAAACTGAGCAGGAGAAAAATTTGGGGTTGGTCTCCCATTTGTTTGTTTTTGCTTGTAAGTTTTATTTATTTGCTGTTTTTTTTTCTTTTTTGTGTTTTACTTATGTATACATATATATATATATATATATATAAACATTGATGTTTTTTAGTTTGAAATAAGATAACTTCATTTTATTTTATGAATAGTCATTTTTTTCCTATGCATTTCCATAATAATTCATCATTTGTTCTATTTATCTAGAATCCCTAAGCTACCATTGTCAAGCCTACAAAAATTGATAGAGTACACCAGCCATTTAAAAATTTCCTTTTTTTTCCTCTGATGATCTAGAGAGCTAGAAGAGCTTTAAGGTTCCTGGGGTAAAAAAGACTGGTTTTTACAAATTCTTAGCAGAAATGTTATATTATATAGTTTGTTATTTGGAAAAGTAGGTGAGATTAGAAGAGTTTAAATGTGTTTCCGTTTCCAAGGTAATTCAGTTCTGTCAATAATATGAGCTGATTTCAGATCTTTTCCTTTAATGGGGAGAAACTGTGATATGGGTATGGGTACAAAGTTGTAATGTTCAGTGAATATTGGTCTTCTCCTTAAGGAAATTGTATTGATTGGGATCTATCTGAAACTAATTTAGTTATATTGACTTATTAAAATTAAGTGCCACTTGCTTGGATTAAGTAGTAATAATTTTCTAAAAATGTGATACTTTCTATTGATTTTTGATCCCAAGCTGTTTATCACTGATGGGCCTTTGTGTGTGTATTTGAAAACAAAATATGTACAAATGTTACACTGGTTTTAAGATTTTTGTGGTGAAAGTTACCTAATCAGTTGACAGTATCTAAAAACCAATATTGGTCATGTGTGATAATGCTCTTTTAAATAGCTGAAAATGAATTATTGTGTGTTTTTCCTTACTTTGTCCTTGTTTTGTTGTACAGTATTTAAGTGAAAGGAGATTATTATCCTGATGCTAATTTTCCAAAAGTGATATTTGCACTTACCGCTTTTTCATGATGGAGATAAAAGTTAGTTTTCTTACTTTGATAAGTTTGACATAGGAGCTATCACGTTTTTTATGCTTTTGGTCACAGTTCTGTCACTAGAATGCTAGAAATTAGACATATGCAATGAGTAACCTCACTACTTTACATGATACAGGCAGTAATTAATAAACACCAAATCCCAATGTCATAATTTGTAACAGGGTAGAGAGAATGACAGGACTTTCTGTAGTATAAATATTATTTTATCTGATTTTAGTGCTATTAAGTTACAGGGCTTTGACTCTTGGGTCTGAAAAGGCACCAATTCCTACTAAATCTTGAGTATTGATACCCTTTGAAGCCTCATCTTCAGACTTGGGAGAAGGTGACAATCAAAATACATGTTTTCGTGAGACTCAAGGCCAGAAATTACAACTATTCAATCCCATTAGGCCCAGGGACTATCACAGAAGAGGTGTGTGCATGAAATTGCAAGGGCTAATTTTGAGGGATAAGATTAGTTCAGTGTTTCTATAAGTTAAACCTTAATATTAAAAACACCCTGATGCAAGCCCAATGTCTGGGCCCATGTGTTGAAATAAAAACGTTTCCTTGAAGCACTCATCTACTCTAATAGAAATGGAAAATTGTTATAAAATGTTTATGGAAATCTTACCTTATGGTCAAACTAATTAAAATTACATAGATTTGTTTATAAGGTTTTATTAAATTAGCTTTATCATTAAAAATAAACCATACAAAAATAATTTTTTCTCTTTTGAAAAAATGCTTGTGTAATATTAAAAGATAAAAGATTTTATCTTCTGAGAACACTGGAGGTACAGAATAGAGCAGGGAGAGACAGATTTAGGTGGCCTCATGCTGTCTTCATTAGGTCTTATATTCTGGGAAACTAAGTCTCCTCTCTATCAAAAGGTAAATACTTTTATCACTCTTGCTAAATGAATGACTAAAATGACTCGTGATTCAATTTGTGATATTAAGGGTCTTAATACTTTGATATTTGGCCAACTTTCCAACAGCAAAATTTCAAGTTCTAAATTCGGGCTTTTTGACCTCAAACTATTTTTTTGGACATTAGGTTTCTTGAAGACCAAGAGACACATATTAGTCCTATATTACAGTTTTTGTTTTGTTAGAATTATGCAGAAAGCTTTGTCAAATCTGAGGTGGTGTTTAGCTTCCGTTGGGATATATTTATATAGATGTGTTGATAATATGTGTTCCAGGATTGTATGAGATTCCTAAAATTCTAATACATCTTAATACATGTTTTCAGTAAAAATGATTATTATTTTAAATTGCTGTGTGCCCCAGAAATAACCAAATTTCCTTGTCAACTGTGTCTTTAACTATGGCTATCTTACGACTTTTGTCATTCACAATTGATGTTTAAGGTTGATCCTTCTCAAACATGTGACATAATCAGCCACAGTCCAAAGCTTGCTTCTTTGGAGGAGTTCACAAAAAAAGACACTTGAGTGTAGATTGCTGATAACTTTGGAGATTGTGACATTGGATTAGAGAGAGATATTCCAGTGCACTAATTGAAAGGCCCTTGTATTCATAAACATTATTAAACCAATATGAAGCAGAGTAGGAGTTGATTGCATGGCCTGAACTAATGGAGGACTGAAATAATCTTTTATGTCTTTTTTTCCTTTGAAATTCTTTTTGTTTCGTTTTATAGATTTTGGAGAATTTTTGCCTTTTGAGAGATTTACAGCCTTTAAATATGCTTCAAATATACTGAGTAGAGTATACTTTTGTAAAAAGAATTTGAGGCATATCTTTCCCTCTGCCTAATTTCTCTAAAATTTGTAAATTATTTGTGAATATCCTTAAATCGTGGCAATGTAAGTGGTTTGTACATGTTTAATAAGAACCTGTTTTATTTTATAATGTGACAGAGTTGGAAGAACTGGTTATTTTTCCTGTGCCTTGATTAAATTGCCTTGTGATAGGTTCAAGAAAAGTCCATTTATGAGAGCCTCTATGGACAATGTTTCTTGTCACATTTTGTTTGGGTAATCAGACCAAGAATATAGGACTGAAGCTTATTTTGTATTTAGATTAATCCTGCTGTGATTTGTCTTTGCCAGAAGTGATGGAACTGGAGAGAGAAAGATTGTGTTTTAGTAGAAAACTGTAGTGTTAGATTAGCCTTTGATTTCTGGGTGGCCACAAGATCACCCATGGTATGGAGTGGCCCGCAATGACTTTCTTCAGCACGAAGCAGCCAGAAAAATCACTGACCAGATTCCCAATGACTGAGGAATTGATAAATAAAAAGGGGTGACCAAAACTGACCCAATAGTCCTGCAGAGAGTTGTTGTTTCGATAAACATAGAAATTCACCCTTCTGGTCTTAAAGCTTGAAACTTATATTTGTTTTATCTGAGTTCCTTCCTCAGGAAATGACCTTCAGGCCTCACAAGAAAAAGCATCAGAGGATTTACACCAGATCATTGCATCTGGACAATGAAATGCTGGACCCCTCATCCATGATGATTGCTCCCTTGTCTCTCCCTAGTTCCTGTTTTCTTACACAGTGTTACATTTCTTTTCCTGCTGTATAAACTACTGGTTTTAGTTAGTCAGAGAGATGGATTTGAGATGGAGCTCTCATCTTCCTGGCTGCAGCACCCAATTAAAGCTGTCTTCCTTTACAGTGATCATCATCTCAGTGACTGACTTTCTGTGTGGCAAGCAGCAGGACCTAGATCAAATCCCTGGTGTGTTGGTAACAATTATGCATTCTTCTCTGTTCGAATTCAGAAAAAGCCTACCAGCATTTAATATTAACACAAACCTTAAGTCTGATAAAAATCATTTATAGTCTAATCTCTCTGAAGCCTGCTACCTGGAGGCTTCATCTTCATGCTAAAACTTCTGTCTCCACAACCTCTTATCATTCTTTTCTACTGATAATAACTCTTTCAACCAATTGCTAATCAGAAAAATTTTAAATCTGTTTATAACCTGGAAGCCCCCACTTTGAGTTGTACTGCCTTTCTGGACTAAACCAATGTATATCTTCAATGTATTGATCATGTCTTGCTAAAATGTATAAAACCAGGCTTTACCCTGACCACATTAGGCACATGCTCACAGGGTCTTCTAAGAGCTGTGTCACAGGTCATGGTCACTCATATTTGACTCAGAATAAATCTCTTCAAATATTTTAAAGAGTTTGACTCTTTTTGTTGACAATGGCTTTTGAAAATATGGTTATTATGTGTCTTCTGCAGATCTATTTGGGTTAACCATACTGGATTTTGTTGAACCCCTTGTATGTATAAATTAATTATTGTCATCAGGATTAAATTTCTATTTGTTTCTTTTTTAAAATAACTCATATATACTTGTTGATATTCTTTATTAGTGGAGACATTATTCTCATATATTCCTTTGTATTTTTAGCTATGTTTCTCTTGTTTTTTTGAACATACTTAAAATCGCTAAAATATTTATTCTATAACTTCAACATTTGCACTTCCTCAGGAAATTTTCTACTTACTAATTTGTATTATTTACGTGTATTGGTCATTTTTTCTTGTTCTTTGCATATCTAATAACTTTTAGTTGAAAAATGAGCATTTAAACAATATAATCTGGTAACTCTATTTGAGGTTTGTTGTTTTGGTTATTTGTTGTTTTCACCATTATTGGTTAGTGACTTTTTTGAAGAAATTCTGTAAAGTCTGTATTGTTTGTTATATGTTGCTACTGAAGTCTTTGCTCATTTACATTAGTTAACAGCTAATGATTAGACCATAATTTCCTTACATGCTTGGAACCAATACATCTCCAAGTCTTTGCCGGAGATTCTATGTGTATAGTGGGCACACCTTTAACACAGGAGATCAATTTGCAATTCAGCCTTAACCTTTACTTCATGCTTCCATAGAGCATAACGTCAGCGAGAGGTGAGACCTTAAGGCCTTCTCAGGTCTTTTCTATACATGAGCACAGCTCTTGCCATGCACACAGCCCTACTCAATTGTATGGCACAGTGTATTCTTAAGAATATGTCACAAATTTTTGAAATCCTCATGTGATGCAGCATTTTTCTTGGCCTCTTTGCCAGCTGGGGACCTCTGGCCAGCAACAATGCCCCTGCCTTGGTCTCACTTGGGCACACAACCTGCCACTGGAGGTGCCCTGCCCACTCATCCACCGGGGCTGAGTCTGACTTGTACACTAGCTTATCCCACAGCTGGGCCAGGAGTGCCTCACCCTACTTATGTTATTTCTTGTACCTGTGTTGGTGGATCTCGAGCTCTTGTCCCATGTCCAAGAAGAATGAGGATATGCTGACAATTCAAGGATGAGGAGGGTGGAAAAGAATTTTACTGAGCAACAGAACAGCTCTCAGTGGAGAGAGGTGGTCTCCTGCCCCCACAGTTGGATAGTTTCTCTCCGTGTGGCTGAGTTCGAGGCTTTTATGGGCTCAGAATAGGGCAGTGTGTGCTGATTGGTTTGGGAGTATGAAAAGAAAGACTAAAGCAAAGACACCACTCAAAGGTGGGGACAGCAGTATAGAAAACCAATTAGGAAAGGAAAGGGTAGGTATATGAAAAATAGGTGAGGGGTGGGAATCAATCAGAGGAAATCATGCCAAATGGGAAGACAGGTTCTCAATCATGTCAGCAGATTTGACTTATAGCCTGGCTTTCAGGCTTGAAACTGTCTTCAGCTTGGAGGTAGGGCTTCACTGGGGACCCACCCCTATCTGCTTTGGTATTTGTCTGCCTTCTGTTGCTATCATATGGACATCTTATTTTTCAACTTTTTTGTTAGTTATTCACTTGGACCATTGTTATCTTCTGCCTCAGGCAGCCATGATATTAAACAATTCTGACTGATTTTTTTTTTCTTTTTGACAAAGAGCCCCTAGGAAAAATGCTGTTCATATTGGGTGAACTTAAAGTAAAATCAAACAAAGAAAAGTCACGTGAATGAGGTTGTCCAGAGAACCACTTAAAAGGTAAAATAATTACAATTCTCTGGTAATAAGGTTTTGAAGGAGTCTTTAATTAATTACACTCCTTTAGTGGCTGGAGAGAGTGATGTTCTCAACATGATTATAAGTTACTGGTTTTCTTTTTTTTTCAACTTTTATTTTAGATTAAGGGGTACATGTGCACGATTTTTACCTGGGTATATTGTGTGATGCTGAGGTTTAGGGTACAAATGATCCCATAACCCAGGTACTGAGCATAGTACCCAATAGTTAGGTTTTCTTTTTTGAATTCTTGCCCCTCTACCTCTCTCTCCTTTCTAGTAGTCTCCAGTGTCTAATGCGGCCATTTTTATGTCCATAAATACCTGATGTTTAGCTTACACACTTAGAACCATAAGTAAAACATGTAGTATATGTTTTTATTTTCTTGTGTTAATTTGCTTAGCATAATGGCCTCAGGCTTCATGTTGTTGAAAAAGACATGATTTTGTTTTTTATGGCTGTGTAGCATCCCATGGTGTATATGTACCACATTTTCTTTATCCAGTCCACCATTAATAGGGACCAAGTTGATTCTATGTCTTTGCTATTGTAAATAGCACAGTGATGAACATAGGAGTGTATGTGTCTTTTTGGTAGAATGATCTATTTTTGTCTGAGTATGTACCTGGCAGTGGGATTACCAGATCAAATAGTAGTAAAATGTGAAAAGTTCCCTTGTCTCCCTTGCCGGGTGTGTGATAGGGGAGTGGCTCACTTCTTCAGTGCTCTGCTGCTCAAACCTCTAGGGGAGCATACGGATGGGCAGCTTGTGAGCCTCCAACCACATTGCCATTAAAATACAAACAGACAAACAAAAAGCTACAGACCAATAAGTTTACATAACCTTATGAAGGTCACACGATATATATAGTTGGCTTGGAAATAGAGCCCATGTTATCTTAATTGGCTCACTGCTCTTTTCTGAAAAATAGTCACTATAGTGCCTGCTATATGGTGATGAAGAAAAGCAATCCAAGGGAGATAATTAGTTTATAGTTGATGGTGAAGGTGGCAGAAATGTCCTTGTTACTAAGGTTAGTGTTGTCTTAAATACGATTCATGAAATAGAAAACATGTTGTGAAATAACTGTTCCTTACTTTGGCCTAAAACAAAATATTCATAGCAACAGCAAAGTAGTCAGGTTGGTACCACATGATCCCACTTCCACCTGTAATTGATTTAAATGGCATGAATACCTATCCCAACTAGAGCAAACTCGTATTTTTTCCTGATCAACTGAGAATTGAGGCATTAAAGAATCAGAGGAAAGATCATGTAAAGTTAGAGCAAGAAGTGGTATCATGACAACTAAAACCACGTGTGATATGAACTTACAGGGATTGAAAGTAGGTAAGCATAATTAGAACTCATAAACTGTTAGCTGAGAGAAGAATGAATTAGATCTACAGAAATAAGTGGAGGCAGAGAGCTGGAGATGGAGTCTACAATAGCATCCTATTTTCCAGGTGAATTTTTCCATAGGCCTAGAAGTATGAAATTTCTTCTTTTTTGAGGGTTGTTATAAGGGCTATCATTTTGGAATTGGGTAGCACTGATCTGGAATATTACAGCCAAAAGAAATTTGGAAAAATCACATTTGTTGTCAAATTGTTTTGATATCTCTGCTACTACTTCATGATAACTTTACCTGGACCTTGCTAAGTCACATTTTGAATAGTCATTACTTTTCCCTCCTGTAAGTGTTTTCGGTTTTCCCTACCTCTGTTCCAAACAACCTTGTCTTTTATTATTTTAGCTATTTAGGATAAAATTACCCACCTTACTCTCCTTAATTTGCCCTACTTGGTCTCATAGATATTACTGTAAAGTAATGGAAAAATGCAGTAGTCTCTTGAGTCTCCCATACAATTGTGATAAGGGGGAAATATTCAGGATCAACTCTAGAGCTGAGCACTGCATCAAGAATTCATTTTTCTCCATCCCTTGGGAAAACATAATTAAGCCGAGTGACTGACTTGAAAACCTGAACACCACAGGAGTTACTCTTAATGGTTTAACTTTACCTCTTCATAACTCTAATATTGCAAAAGGGGCAGTGAATCTTGACAGAGGTGCAAGCTAAGTAGTTTGTTGAGTAAAATAGATGCAGGAAACATTCTGTGACAATAGGCACAAAAAGTACTTATTTACTAGCCAGGGCTTTTTGTCAGGATAATGAGCCATCACATATCAGTGTAACAGTAGAAAAAATTGTATATATATATGCAACTAGTTTTAATTGAAACATTAAAATATAGAATGCATATTTTAAATTATTCATCCCTCTCTGTAATATTTTATGTACGTATACACATATATACACACACCCACCACAGAGGCTCACATGCGCACACACATATTTAATGTTTAAAAAGTATCTATCACAACCATCCATTCAAATATTATTTTACTTAGAAAATCGCACTCATCCTGGTTATTAAGAATTGGCTTTCCTACTACTATTTTAAACAAGTATTTTTGTTTCTTGAAAGTCTCCTAAAAAGTTACTATAGATTCAAAGAACTGAGACGACTAAGGCATAAATTCAGTGCTCCAGGGCCCAGAGAATGGTTGAGCTGCCCGGACAACTGTGTAACTGTGTCACTATCTCTGCCCACCTTTCTTAAGGAAATTATGTGAGTTAGTATCCACATCTTATTCCCCTATTTAATCAAGGCAAAAATTATTGTAATGCCTTTTTATCCACGTCAAAGTGCTGTTAACTCCTACAGGTTAGGTACTCTAAGCAGGAAGTACATACCAGGAACAAATTCTAAGTCCTAACCCATGCCCATACCCTTGCATTAAAACTCACTATTATGCAATGAATGTTTATACACCCCCACCCCATTCAAATGTTAAAGCCCTAACCATTAATGTGATGGTATTTTGAGATGAACTCTTTGGAAGATAATTAGCGTTAGATGAGACTGTGAGAGTGAGGTCCTTTTGATGGGATTACTGCCTTTACAATAAGACATATCAGAGAGTTTGTTTTCTCTCTTCCTAAGTGAGGACACAGTGAAGAGGTAGCCATCTGCAATGCAGGAAGAGAGCCCTCACCAGGAACTCCATAGGCTGGCACCTTGATCTTGGACTTCTCTACCTCTAAAACTATAATACATAAAATTTTCTTCTACTTAAACAACTCAGGCTATGGTATTGTGGTATAGAAGCCAAAGAATATTAATATACTTTCTAAATGTTTTCATTTATTCTGCTCCTGTTATCTTTCTATGGATGATATAGATTCTTAACCCTGAGTGTTTTCTTATAATTGACCTCCTATGTTTTAGCAATGAGTCTTAGATTTATTCTAAAATCTAAATTTGCTTCTTTGAACTTGTGACAGAAATAAAGCTTTTCATATTTAAATAAATTCTAATCCTAACTCTTCTCGACTAACAATCCCATTGTTACTCTGAATGTTAGTACTTCTAGAACTATGTTGGACTCTTTCAGGACTCTGTTCAAGTTTTATGCTTTAAATGAAGTCTTCCCAAACTACTTTTTTTCTACATTATATATTAGGCCCCAAGTACCGTAAGTATATCTTTATTGTTCAGGCTTCTGAGTGACCTCAGCCTTGAGTCCTTTTAGTCTCATCTTGGTTAGGGTTGACTCGCCTTATCTCCAGGGCATCCCGTCTCTTCAAAGGACTCCGAAAACATGGTCCAGGGATAGTGCTTCTTCAGTTGAAAATACATGTTTCTGGTCCTCATGCTCTCCTGCCCGTGTGGTATTTCTTCTTCTGATTTCTCGCCACGAGTCATCTTTTAACATAGGCATCCAAATCTTTCTGTCTTACGTTTATACCGGAAGACTATGGACTTAAATATGAAGGACTTGTGGTTTTTGTTTTCCGGTTCATTACTAGGTTATTCACAAATAACCATAAGCCTGGGAATAGTTGAATAAAATTAATACTTGGTATAAGATTTTATCCCACTGGTATTTTTGTTTTCTAGATTTTTAGAGCATTTCTCTCTGCTACTGATTTGACAATATATTTTTTCCTTTGTTAAGTGCCTTTTTAAAAGTTTGTCTTATTTTTCAAATTGTGAGTCAGAATCTTGAGAGCAGTAACTATGGCCCACACTGATGTGGATTCTCTTATAGTCCTAGCATAGTACCTGGTACCTAGAGCGGTTATTCAATAAATTATTTTTGAGTTGAGTGGATCGAGATGGGAGAATTTGGCAGTAACAAATAAAGATTTAGTACTATATAAGATTATATGGCTGTAATTTAGGAAACTAATACAATTGAGCCACTATTCTCAATGTTTTAGCAAGTTTGCTTCAGTTTACTTTCATCATTATTCAGTATTATTCAGAAACTTAAGAGATACGTTGCTTCCCACTATAATGAAACTTTTTTTTCCATAGAATTGAAGCCAAAATATGTGAAATGGATACTGGAGGGCCACAGTTTATTCATCACAAGTTTGGGTCTAAATATCAGCAATTTTTTGCATACCAGCTTCTCTAACTGAAGGTAATTATGATTCGATTTTTATAACATAAGGAATTATATCTAAAGCTGTTCTCCTTGAAGAAAATTTAATCTACAGCTGTGAAGAGTCCATGTGGAGTAGACACTCTTCGTTTGGCTTTGAAAAGTCATAAAATATTGTTGAACAAATAATTACACGGAGTGAACACAGAAGCACATTTACTGTTCACTCTTCCCTGATATCTTGCTCCAGAATAGCCATTAAGAGTAAGAAAGACATGCTTTATAAAAGGAATTCTACTTTGTAATGTACTTATATTTTCATAATTCTTGAAGAACAATATTTTGTAAATATTCCTTTAAAAAGTTAGTTTTGGATTTCAGATTATAATTTGATTTCAGATTATAATTTAGTTGTTAACATTAAATTATTAATAAAGATGCAGATCTGATTTTGACCTCTGTTAACAAATGTATTAGTTTTGCACTATCGGACATGTATTTTCAAAGCATATCTCCAGCTTTAGAAGCTAATTTAAGTAATTCCTTTATATTTTACTGAATCCAGAGATTAATCTCATGGAATGAACTGACTAATATGAAGTTAAAAAAATACTGGCTCAGCATATTCAGCTCATTTACGTCATCCAGAGGAAAACTGAAAAATAATATTAGGGGGTATTAGGCAGTTCTGAGGTCTCTGTTCTTTCATAAAAGAAGAATCCGATTTTTATAATCCTAGAATGTTAGCTTTTGATATCTAAACACCAAACACACTTATTTTAAAAATAAAAAATTAAGATTTTAAGTGTATTAGCTTATTAGAATGAACATTAGTTTATCCCATTCATAACAAGAAAAACTTAAAAAATGATTTAATTTAATGCAACTGTATATAAATTATTGGCTGAAGTATAATTTAGGCTTCTTCTATACATGTAGAAGCTGTCATACTAGGATCTGTGTTGGCTGTAGTTTCTGGGCATTTATATGTGAATTCCATGGCTGTGACTAGATATAAAGTCTTTTAAAGTCTGAGGCATAAACCTTAGAATATTTCCAAATGGTCCAAGATTTTGCATCAAAGGAATGGTCTGTGAAATAGAATAAATCAAGGCATTTTGTTTCTTTATCAGTGAACTCCATTTGAAGTATTTAATACCTAAACTGAGAAGGCATGGTGTTCCTAGAAGAGCTTGGTGTCTCCAAGTAGTGGAATCTGAAAGCCAATAGGCTCGTCCTCTTTCTGCTATTGGCTAGATGGTCAAAGAACATCTATTAGTCTGGAATTTTCAGAGTAGGTGATCTTGTGGCTCTTATTTCTAACTGTCTTATTAAAACATTAAATGTATAACTTGATTTGTGTGCTGGCTCTATTAGTTACTCGTGTGTGACTCTACAAAGTATTACTTAAATGTTAAGAATAGTGTCTTCCTTTGTTAAATGTGCATGATAAAAGTAGCATGTTTATGAGATTAATTTTTGGGTTCAAATCTCAAATCTGGCCATTACTTTGCAGCTCTGAAAAACACAGAGAATGCCAAAAAGGTGGTCACAAAAAGTGTTTGTACACTGTGTGTCAGAGTCTAAGAATCTATCTAGATTCTGATGCTGATACAGAGATCGTTATACAAGACTGTACAGTGATCTTGGAACAACTTCTTGTGTCTGATACAAGAAACTGCTCAAAAAAAGATGCAACCATGTCAAAATACACAGATGCTGAAGATATTTCTATAAGCCGAATCTGAGGAAATCTAATCATCAAAGGAATCATGCTAGTAAGGGATTATAACACATCAAATAAAACAGGAAAATATAAATCTAGAGTAATATCAATTAATAAGTGAATAAATTGGAAGTTTTATAAAGACAAGATATTTACATAGTTTCACATAAACTCCTCATAAAATATTTATTAATTACATAGGAAAAACTTGTGACTTTTGAGTGGTAGTTTGGCAAATGACACCTTAACTTAGTGATTGAAATGATCACTACTAATGGGACAAATCTAAATTGTGCACCTCCAAATAGGACACAAAGAGATTATAGCATAAATTCTGTGATATTCCTGCTAAAGAGGCAAAACCTGAATCATATCATGAAGAAACATTGGACAGACGTAAGTTGAGGAACATTTAATAAAATAATTAACCTGTAAAGTTCAGATTCATTGGATCATAAAAGTTAAGGAATAACTAAAGAATTGTTTGAAGTTGGAGGTGACTAAAGAAACTTGAAAACGAAATGGAACACATGATTCTGAATTGAATTATTTGGCTTTAAAAGACCTTATTGAAAAATTTGGAATAAATTTTGAATCTCAGATAGTAACATATCAATGCATATTGCCTAACTTGATGGTTGTGTTAAGGTTGACTAGTAGAATATAGCATTTTGTATAAAATATATACAAAAGGATTTTTAGTGATAGGGTATTAGGTATTAGCATACTTTCAAATGGTTCAGAAATTTTATAGTGCTACATTTGCAATCTATTTTGTACATTTGAGAAGGTTTTAAAACAAAACTTCCAATTATTTTATTATGAACTTTAAAAAATGTGTCTTCCCTTATAACAAATATATCTTTTATTTTTAAAAAAACCTCAAATATATATATTTAAAAATCTCATTTATAGACATCATTTCTATATACTATATATTATTTATTATATGTAAATATTATTTATAAAATATATATCATCTTATATATGCCAAGATAAATTTAGAATATATAAAACACAATAGTCTCTGATTGTTTTAACATTGTTAGATAAAAGGAGGGATGTAAAAATTTATTTTTAAATGGTGGGAACCATATCTAGATATATCACAGTAAATTTCATATCACTTCTGACAAAGAAAACATTTTTAAAAGAAGCCAGAGGGAAAGATATCTTTTGATTAGGATTTAGATTGACAGCAAACTCCTAAACAATAACAATGTAAGGACGAGAAGAGACACAATTCTAATTAGGTGTATCTTACAAAGGATGATAGAAAATATTGCCCAATCCAGCAAATTAAACTGTAAACCAGGTAGGTAAATCTGAAAATACAGTAACTGTATGAAAAAAAAAATATATCTAGTTGTTTTGTGATTTATATGGTTTGGTTCTCTGCCCTCAGAGCACGAACCCACCGGGAGGAACGAGCAACTGCAGACGCGCCGCCTTAAGAGCTGTAACACTCACTGCGAAGGTCTGCAGCTTCACTCCTGAGCCAGCAAGACCACGAACCCACCAGAAGGAAGAAACTCCGAACACATCCGAACATCAGTAGGGACAAACTCCGGACACGCAGCCTTTAAGAACTGTAACATTCACCGCGAGGGTCCGCGGCTTCATTCTTTAAGTCAGTGAGACCAAGAACCCACCAATTCCGGACACAGTACTACTGCCTATCCTCTTAATCACAGGACAAGGACTCCAAAAAGGCAAGTCTCAAAGACAAAGCCATTACACACAAGCTCTGCTCACTGATACTCTGTACTCTGGTTCTGAGCCCATTAACAATCATCCTCAAGGTGCGAAGGCTGATTTGGGTGAGGGAGGAAGATTATTAATTGAGTCCCACTGGAGTTCAAGACTTTAAAATTAAAATAACAATAAAAAATTAAAATTAATGAAAAATTACTATGTGCCAGGCACTATGAAAAGCCATTTACAAGGATTGACAAAAATGCTGTGAGAAGGATATTATAATCCTCAATTTATACATGAATAGGTCACAGAAAGGTGAAGCAATTATTTTAAATGTAGCATAAGAAGTAGGTGGCTGAGTAATTGTTCAAATCAGCTCAGTCTGATGGGTGTTAATATGTTTTTATCTAATCCAAGACCTAAAATATAGTCGCATCTCTAAGAAATATATATCAGTGAGAATCAGCATAGATTACACTTAGTATTCTCTCCAAACTTTATATTCTGTGAAAGGCCATATACTTTGTTAAGTAAATAAACCTTTTATGATTACTAGAATATCACAGGAAAACATACAATATTAATGTCAAAAATGCTGATACTGTGTATATTGACAATGATAGCTATTTTAATTTTATGCCTGTAATTATTAAAGTAGTCATAGTGGATGGACTGTCTACTTAAACACTAGTTTTCTATGAAAATCCATGTTGCTATGAATCCTCATTTAAAGTCATGTGTTGCTTAATGATGGGGATATGTTTTGAGAAATGCATTGTTAGGTGACTTTTTCTTCGTTGTGTGAATATTGTAGTGTACTTGCACAAACCTAGATGGTATAGCTCACTACACATCTAGGCTATATGGGGTAGTCTATTGCTCCTCAGCTACACACCAGTACAGCATGGTACTGTATTGAATACTACAGGCTACTGTAACAAAATGGGAGTTATTCGGGTATCAAAACATAGATAAGTACAATAAAAATAAAGAATAAAAGATTAAAAAAATTGTAAAACTGTGTAGAACACTTACAATGAATGGAGGTTCCAGAACTGAAGTTGCTCTGGTGTCAGCCAGTGAGTAGTGAGTGAATGTGAAAGCCTAGGACATCACTTCACACTGCTGTAGACTTTATAAACACTGTACACTTACGCTATACTAATTTTTAAAAAATCTTTTCTTTCTTTGATAATAAATTAATATTAGCTTACTGTAACTTTTTTACTTTGTAAATGTTTCATTTTTTAAACTTTTGATTCTCATAATACTTAGTTTAAAATACACATTGTACAGCTGTGCAAAATATTTCATATCTTTATTTTATATGTCTTTTTCTATTTAAAAATTTTTTAGGCATTTTAACGTTTTTCTTTAAAAACTAAGACACAGCACACACATTAGTCTAGGCTACATAGGGTCAAGATCATCAATATCACTGTTTTCCACCTCCCCATCTTGTCCTACTGGCAGGTCTTCAAGGACAGTATCATACATGGAATTGTCATCTTCTGTAACAATGCCTTCTTCTGAAATACCCTTTGAAGGATCTGCTCAAGACTGTTTTACAGTTAACTTTGTTTAAATAAATAAGTGGCAGGAGGACACTCTAAAATAATAATGAAATATATAGTATAGTAAATAAGTAAATTGGTAACATAGTCATTTAGGCAATAGTAATTTTTCAGCTCCATTAAAATCTTATGGTACCACCATTTTATATGTTGTTCAGTGTTGACTGAAACATGCAGCACATTACTGTATGTTATTTTATTAATAGTAGTATTGGTGAATGGAGGCGCTCTGTGGTGATTTTATTAAGAAAAATTGTGTTTTCTCTGGAAAACAGTTGCCTTTAATCTGGGAAATTCCTAGGTGGGGAACAATCATGTTTACAAGACTTGGAAAGGGAGAAGAAAACAGATCAGCAAATAATTTTAATCAAAGCCTTGGTGGAAAGGTTCCTACATGTTGCAATAAACCCAAAGAGGCTTAGAGAAGTTTTAATCAACTTGAACAGACAAATAGTGAATGAGCCACATGCAGGAGGTAGTTCACCTGAATAAGATGCATTAAATACACCCCGGAATGTGTGGAGGGCTCCACTGTGTTTGTATAATAGCTACGATGGAAGAGAGAGAAGTTCTTAATGCGGAAGTATTCTTAGCCTTCTTTCTTCTTATTATCTAAATGTAATTTATTTATTGCCTGCTAAACTTCTCTCTTTTCCCCCTATATGCAAATAATCCTAACTTGGAGGATGTACAAGTTTGGCCCCATAGGTAAAAAGAGAAAACTCTTTCTCCTCCTCCTCTTCAGTTTTTTCTTTCTTTTTCTTTTTCGGCATCCTTTTCCTGAATAGTTTCTATTAATTTATTCTGTGGGGCCAAACAAGACAGATAATTGCACAGGGATCAGAGACAAGAGTAAGAGCTGAAACAATGAGGATGGAGTCCACACAGGAACAGAGCCAGGACTGATGTAATAAAGCTCAAATAGAGAAAATCAGACATAATGTAGGAGGGCTTTCTGTGGAGCGAGGAGGGTGCCAATGCTGGAGTGAGAGTGACCTAGATCAGAGTTTCAAAGCATGTGCAGCATGAGGGAATAACCATGTATGAGGTAAGAGCAATGGTAGCTGCCCAGCCCAACTGTGGTGAAGGGGACACTTCCATAAAGAAGAATGTAGCAGTGGCCATGTGAGATTAAATACAGAATATTTGATCAAATAAGTGAATATATTAAGGATCGTAGAAACCAGGTTTTTCACTGTCAGAGAAGGATTATGCATAATTAATTGGACAGGAAGAAAACTATAATGAAATATACAGTTTTTAATATTGAAATTTGAGGTGTCTGTACCTGCTTATGATTTTCAGTAGATAAGATGACTGTGTGTTCATGACATCAGATGATAGTATAGCCTATATTATATTATATTATATTATATTATATTATATTATATTATATTATATTATATTTTTCCTACATCAGTTCCCTAAAAGGCCCAAGGACAGTGACAGTTTGACAGCTTAAAATAAATGGACACATCTATCTTGGTTTCTAAATACCATTCTCCACTAAAAGGAACTCATGCTCCAGGAAAAATGGCTGATTCCAGGGTTTCAGCATGTAAATTATTAGATAAGCTTAGACTGTTTTTTTGAGCTAGAAAATGAGTAAGTTCTCAAAGAATGATGGGAACGTGAACACAAAATCAAGCTTGAAGGAATTTGCACTGGCACAAGCATGAATGCAAAAACACCTAAGTAATGTTGAATAAAGTATGACACCATGAGCCCAAGCTCTAATGAATAAATTAATTAATTGAAAATTTGGTGAGTTATAATGTAGTTCTAGAGTTTTAAGCACTTTTAAAAATAAAATATGTATTTACATAGGAGGAAAGTCTATCTTATCAAAGTGAATATTACCAGTTATGGGACAAGTTAAAATTGGGTGCTGCTAGGATGCAAGGTGAAGAACATAGCATGTCTTCTATGGCATTCCTACAAAACATGCATAACCTGAATGTACTCATTAGCAAATCAGACAAAACCAAATTCATGGACATTTTAGATTGATTAATGTGACATAATGCCAGCAGCTTATACTAAAATGGTTTTATGGGCGAGATAAATTTATTTGTATCCTACTTTTAGTGTTTCTGTGTTAGATTATTTCAAATTAAAAGTGAAATTGCTTTAACAACAAAAAAAATAAAACGGGAGAAGTGACAGTGGGGGATTTGCTGATTAAAAACAATGCAATTTTAAATAAAGGGTGAACAGAAAATGAAGGAATGGTAGAATGGAGAGATGTTAAATGTAGCAGTACTACAATTTAGAAAAATTTTGTTTTCAGGATAAAATCAAAGAACAGGGTTTTTGCTCTTTCACTATCATTTGGATAGAGAATATTAAGAGTTGCATAGATTCTGAGAACATGAATTTCTGTATATTAACAATATATTCCTATCTTTTAGAGAATTTTCAAGCATCTAAGCAAACATCAGAATTGCTTTGAAAAATATCTTTCTGTGTTCCAACTACATAAAGGAGTAAATCTGACTGAATCAAGGTTTCTTCCAGTTCTATTAGTTCTATACTTATGGTATTCTGAAGGGAATAAACATTTTCCACATTGGAATCCTGAAAATTTTGATTGTATCAGTCTGTTAAATATTATTTGATCTGAAAATTTTTAATGAGTACAGCAGAAAGCAGTCTTAATAATGATACTTTGACACCTGAGAATAAAAATGTGTCCTGAAAAAGATTTTAATATATGTCATGTCTTATTTATTCATTGTTTTTAATCTATTTTTGTTTTGTATGTTACAGGTTGAGGATTCCTAATTCAAAATCTGAAATCTGAAATGCTCCAAACTCTGACACTTTTTGAATGCCAACATCACACCACAAGTTGAAAGTTCCACACGTACGTACTTAATACAAAATGAGTTTTATGCACAGTGTTGTCAGAAATTACCTTCAGGCTATGTGTATAAGCTACATATAAACATAAATAAATTTTTTGTTTAGAATTGGGTCACATGCCCAATGTATCTCATTGTATATATTCCAAAATCTGAAAAAAGAATGGAAATTCAAAACATTTCTCATTTTGGATAAGGAATACTCAACCTGTATTAAAATAATTTTTCTTGCAGTAAAATTTATACTGCAGGAAAATGATAGAGGATGAATAGATAGGCCACACATAGGTAAAAATTAAGATAGCAATATAATAGAGCTCTATATAGCTAGACTTATATTTAGATGTTCATAAAATATTGCATCATATATAATAATCTTGTTTTGGAAGAGTGGTAAAAAAGCAAACTTAATCTAGACTGAATAATTTAAAACTCTGCTTTAAGTATTTTGCAAGGAGTCCACTGCTTCTGCACTCATTTAATTCTCACACCTCTCATGTCAGAAATTGATGAACTTAATTTAAGGAAGATAGTAGTAAGAAGGTGAATTAACTTCTCAATTACCAGAGGTTTCACTGGTCCATAGCAGTCTTAATAATAGTTACTGTTAGGACCTCATGGCTTTAGATACTGATTAAAGCTTTCAAAAGGAATAAATTACTACTCAAATATATTTAAAGAGCAAAATCCTCTAGAGAAAAAAAGAAATGAAGCTCCTTAATAGTCAGAAATTTCTATCTAATTTTAAAATTAATTCTATTCTGCAATGTAAGATTTTTTCTCTTTTCTAATTTTTATGAATAAACAACAATTATACATATGTATGGGATCCATGTGATATTTTGATACATGCATCCAATGTTTAATGATCAAATGTTTATAATAACCCAAAAATAGAAAATTCTGAGGACAATATACTAGAAAAAAAATGAACCTAAATCAGTGCCTCTGCAGGAATAATTCATTAACCACTTACACTTATTATTAGCTCTTATGGCAAGTTGTAAACTAGAACACTGAAAAATAAAAGATTGACATGGAAAGGACTGGTAAAGTAAAAAGAACCATTTTTCTGGTAACTTGCCTCCTCACACCGAGAAACCAAAATTGTAGGAACTGCAACAGTTTGTAACTGTTCTGAATTCCATCTCTGATGCTGGAATCATAGAAGTAGGTTCTAAGAGTTTTTTTTCAATATCCCTCCTAGTATCTTTCCCCAACATCTATGTTTTCAAAAAATAACATTCATAGCATTGTTTCTCCACTGTAGAACTGGCTCATGATCTTTTTTTCACTGAAGTTGTCTGGGTAAGAAGTCTGGGGACAATGTGCTGTCCTGGGAGTGATCTCTTCTATAGCAGAATTGATGAATTATTATAGTTCTTGAAATGATTGTTCATCCAGGGTTCTATGTGACAATGGTAACTGCCTTAAAGAAGTCTAGCCATCATAACACTGCCATGTTTTCCCTACTCCAAACCCATATAGGAGAGAATAGTTTATTATGGCAAATGCTTTTGTCCTAACTCCTTAATATTTTATATTCCAATTGTTACTAAATATTAATACCTCAGTAGGCCAGAATAGATGAAAAAGAGGTATTCTGCTGTGTTCACATTAGTCACAATTCACATGTTAGTTAGGTATATCTTATGGACAATAATTTTAATGTGGCCAAATATAATTCCAGGAGTTAGGTGTTAACCATACTTCAATAAAATACTGTGTCTTTTTGTAGGTATGAGGAACTTCCTATTAGAAAAGTGATTTATTTTGAGATATAATCTATACTGTAACAGCTACATGGACAAAGAACTAAAAGTAAATTGGACAAAATGAATAAAGAGCAAAATACATGTTGACTCTGATGAAAATAATGTCTGAGTGATAAGAGCTGCTTAAGCAAGTTAGGCTTCATTTTTGTATGAATTGATTAAATTCTTATCACTGGAGGCAGTGAAAGGGAAGGGGACTTTTAAAGGATTCTGTTTAGGGAACAGCTTTGAGCTCTTCAGCAATCTTAGAGTAAGTAAATCACATGTAATTTAAAATTTTCTTTCCAAATATTATGAAGGTAAAAAGTCAATAAATATTAAGTTATAAAATATACCTGTGGGATCATAATTTCTGTAGTAAATATTTGAGAAACAAACAGTCAGAGACTTAATTTATATGCAAGACAATGATTTAAATACTGACAGCAATTTATGGGGTCTAATAAGTTTTCTGTTTTCCAAATCAGTTTGACTTATATTACCCCATCTAATCATTACTTTGTGAAACCAAGATAAATGTGTTGGCATCATTATCATCTCATTTACCTGAACTAAGAAATTTGAGCAAAGAGAAATTATGTGACTTACCCGACATTACACAAGTGATAGAGTTGACACCACCATCTTAAAATCTCTACCTTTTAGTTGTGTTTTTCTCCTGGTGTAAAATGCTGCTCTCCTTTTTAATTATTAGGAATATTGAATGAGACTGGCTTGTTGTTATTTGTATCAGATGAATTAGAAATCAGTTTCATTATTATTTGCTTTGGACCCATTTGCTTAGGGAATTTTATTTATAAATAAAAGTAAGAGTTTATAAACATGTAAAAATTTCATGACTTTTTAATCATGTTTTTAAAATTAAGAACTATAACATAAAAACAAAAACTTGTATAAATATGAAATATTTGTTAAAGTGTATTTTGCAAATAATTTTATGTATTATATCTATCCATATTAAGAGATTTCTTTCAACAATGTTTATTACAAAAATGATACTTATATGTTAATCAAAATGAGTTTAAAAAAATTACTTTCCAACTTCCCCATTCTTTTCTCTGCTACTTTCTAAAGGCATTCATTAATTCTTACAAAGTTTTCTAGAATTTTTTGATGTACATGAAAACATTTACGGAAACGTGCTGTTGATTTAATATTATGTCTGTTTAATACCCAGTTTTTTACGTACATAGTGTTATATCATAAGTCTTTTGGTTTTCTAAATTAGATATAGAATATATTTCATTATATGACTTTTTCTTTTGGCTCCTACAACTCTTCTTTCTTTAATTTTTCTTCTACCTCATTAGGTGTTCCATTTCAGATTATTTTATTTATTTCTTCCTAGCTTCTAAATTTTAGAGTTTGTATTGAATTGATACTGAGTTCGGATTCTTAAATACTTCTTGCCTTCGTCTAAACTCATTTCCTAGGTAACATTATTTGTTTCTTGGATTTGAAAGTCATTTGTAAAATCATAATAATTAATATAATCAAAAATATAATCATTACATAATCAAAATATAATATATAATTTCTAAAACTTCCAAACTAATATCTTTAGATCTGATAAGTCTACTGAATTCTAGATTCACAGATACCATGAACTAGTTAAGGTTGCCTCTTGGATATCTAAATAGGCTCTCTAATTGAACACAATCAAAATAGAATTCTTGATTCCTACTCCCAAATTTGTTCATATTAGAACTTACACCATATAATAAATGGAACCTCCAATTTTCAGTAGCTCAAGCAAAAAAAAACTTACGTATTAATAACACGTTTAGCTCCTCTATTTCTCAAACTTCATATTCAATTATTTAGTGAATTCCTTCCATTCTATTTTAAAAATATATATATAGGATTTAACATCTTCTTACTCTTTCTGCTTCCTTTGCTTTGGTTCAAGAGAATATCCTAGCTCTCACTTTTATTAGGTTATGTTTCTGTTTTTCATGATTTTACCCTGGATTTTACTGATCATTGTTTCCAGGCAGATCACTGTAGCTTGATTTTGAACTCACTGTTGCATGGAACATAAGAAAAATTAGGTCACAGTGAAGATGAAGACGCAGCTTTTTCTTCCTTCAGTGGGCTTTACTGGAAAGACAGGAGAAGTGACAAGAAACCCGAGGAAGGATATGGATCTAATAAACAAATTTGAGAGTCCTCCTGTGTCCGTGGTTAGACTTTAGCTGTTTCTAAGAAGGGGTATCCCCTAATAGCCTTTAACAGAGTAATCTGCAAAAAGCATTATCTACTCCCTGGAACATTGGAATATTTAAGGAAAAATAATTCTAGTTTTGGACTTATAGATTTATTGGACAGGCTTGAGTGTAAAGTTTGAAAACATAAAGCACTTAATCCACTTATTCACACAGAATTATTGAAGTTAACTACATAAACTTCTACACATGAGGTTTCTATTAGTGATGTAGGATTTTTTTGCTTCTTAATTCAGCTAAAATCCGGGTTCTTGTCACAGAACCAGGAATAATTAGGCACGTGGACACATTGAAAGGTAAGAAGAGTGGTATTTATTAAAGGAAAGCTCTCAGGAAAAAAAAAAAGGGGTCCTGCCAACAGGCTTTCACCTGACAGACTGAATACCAGGCCACCACACAGGAGCTGAAAAGGCCCAGCTCGTCCCCTCTGCATAAGGAATTCCTGGTGGCTCCATCCCACTCTCCCAGTTCACAGGCGGGACCCCAGTCCATTGTGGGCATGCCCAGACAAGGCCCTAGGCAGGTTCCCTTATCTTCCTCCTGAATCTATCATTAAGAAACGTTTCCAGTAGGCTACATTGCAGTAAACTTAAAAAAATGTGTGTCTCAGCTCTAAGTTGCCTTTATAGAGTACTTACAGGTTGCAGAACTTTTTCACAGATTTTAACATTTTTTATTTTACTTATTTGTTCTTTTAGTTATGTTTATTTATTGATTACCTGGGATCTCTCAGGAAAATTTGCTTGTTTCTTTAGATAAGTTACTAATGAGACAGAAACAGGCTGTTTCTTCATTGACCTCACACTTTCACTTGCTTAACCTAAGCTTTTACTTGTTCCACATTACACACTGACTTAGTGGGCCACATTTTGGATTGTTCTGTATTTTTCTCCTTGCATTATTTTCGTGTTGATATTTTCTCTGCTTAGAATATATTACCCAATCCGTGCAGACGATATCTTACTGAGAGGTGAAGCTGGCTGGGCCTTTGGGATGGGTGGGGACTTGGAGAACTTTTCCGTCTAGCTAAAGGATTGTAAATGCACTAATCAGCACTCTGTGTCTAGCTAAAGGTTTGTAAATGCACCAATCAGCACTCTGTGTCTAGCTAATCAGGTGGGGACTTGGAGAACTTTTTTGTCTAGCTAAAGGATTGTAAATGCACCAATCAGCACTCTGTGTCTAGCTAAAGGTTTGTAAATGCACCAATCAGCACTCTGTCAAAACGGACCAATCAGCTCTCTGTAAAACAGACCAATCAGCTCTCTGTAAAATGGACCAGTCAACAGGATGCGGGTGGGGCCAAATAAGGGAATAAAAGCAGGCCACCTAGCCAGCTGCTGCAACCCTCTAGGGTCACCTTCCAAGCTGTTTAAGGTTTGCTCTTTTGCTTTTCACAATAAATCTTGCTGCTGCTCACTCTTTTGGTCCACGCTGCCTTAGTGAGCTGTAGCACTCACCTCGAAGGTCTGCAGCTTCACTCCTGAAGTCAGGCAGACCACCAACCCACCAGAAGGAAGAAACTTCAGACGCATCTGAACGTCTGAAGAAACAAACTCCAGCCACACCATCTTTAAGAACTGTAACACTCACTGCGAGGGTCTGTGGCTTCATTCTTGAAGTCAGCAAAACCAAGAACCCACCAATTCTGGACTCATTACCTATCCTCAAAGGACAAGTTTAATCTCTGTTTGGAATCCTTTCATGGTTTTCCTGGCTAGAAATTTGTTCTTCCTCTTGTGAACTCAAACGTGCCAAATATATACATCTTTAGACGCTTCACTTTTTATCCAGTTAAAATGATGGTAAGAGTTTATTTCCAATTTGCCTTATTATTTTGTTTGCCTCTTAATGGCAGGAAATTTATCTTGTTGATCATTGTACCTCATTACTACTACTGTTATGATGCCTGGAATAGTATTAAAAAGTTAACTAATGAATGTCCTTCCTCAGTTTCCCATCTCTGCACAGCCTGGAAATTCTCTTGTCAGTAAGTGAAGGAAATCATATGCCCATCTCACTTATCTCAGTTCTCAGGAATTTTTGTGATCCATTTGCCTGATGGTTAGTATTTAAAAAACATTCTTTCATTTATTTATTTTGTTTTCATTTGGCTGTTTTACTTGGGAAGGTAAATTTAGTCTTGGTTGCTCCATCTTTTCCAGAAGCAAGTCTCACAATCAGTTACATTTAAGGCAAGAAAGGGGAGACTTGAAGTTAGTCATCTCCCTTATTATGAAGATAACTAATAAACTGTTAAACTACCAGTAATTGAAGCACGGAGAACTACGGAAAGCAGGAGATGAAGCTGGTGCAAAGAAAGACAGCTCACATGGTGTAATCCATGCCAGTTCATTTTATCTTTTATTCTATGTATATTATACTGCATGGTTTATCTGGGTGATTTGTTGATACCCAAACATATTCGGTTATTCCCCTTTTGTGTCTAATGAAAAACCTGTAAGTTTAATATATGTCAAGTGTAAGGTGGGCCCTATCTTCCCCTGACAGCTCTGAAGATTTTTGAATGCGAATGCTTTTCTCTGTGAACGAGAACAAGGTGCACGAAGAAAATTTTTTTATTGGTCCTCATGTAGCTATGTTTACTCTTAATCTCCAAGAACAGCCTAGTCCTGAAGAGGAGATGTATCTACAAGAGTTCATTAATCAACACTCACTTTTTGATTTACAGTATATAAAAGAGGAAAATATAGTCACTTTTCTCAAAATATGATTGCTGTTACTAACAATGGTGGTAACCTTCCCACTTGCTACACTGGATCCACTACAAAGTCGTATAGACGTTACATATTTAGTGATCTTTGTATAGACCAATTAAAGGTAAAACAAAAGAAAGTTACATCATTACTTTCCTAACCCCACATAACCCAGTAAACAACACACTGGTATCCTTACCCCCGTTTCATCCAGCTCTGTGAACTGACTGGGTGAGCTGATCCACTTATCTCTCTCCTACTCTCTCAACCTAACAATTTCCTTGCATTACTCCACTTTGTATTCTTTTAACTGAGGGCAAAGTTTCCTTCTCAAGAGCACTTTCTTCTCCCTCATTTTCCAAGATTGATATTTTCCAAAGTTTTTCCTATTCCTTTTTCTCCTCCTGGGAAAAGTTGGTATTTGTATAGAGTTGCTAAATTTTCAACTGAAAACTTTTTCTTCTAAGTAAAGAGGGAAACTCTAAAATCAGGGATACAGGTTGCCAGGAGTCAGGGATTCTATAAAAGCAAGTAAATAAACTGTAACTTATGCTATTTAAAAAATACATTCTGACAATGACACACTCGCCATGATCACATTTGAGAGCAATTATCACAAAATGTATGACAAATTATATAATTTCACCCACTTTACCCATCGTTTTAGTGGATATTCTACTATTAATAGATAGTTTACTCTTTTACTACTTTAAGGGAGATTCCACTATAAATAATTCCCAGTTTCGGTGCTGCCAATGTTAAGAACTCACATTGTTGCAGCTGATTTACTTTATATTCTGCATATAACATATAACACATATTATGTGTTACACAATATAATATTAACAAGAAAATAATTATATAAAATGCATCAGTAATTATTCCTGTAAGTATAAATCCATTTACAACACTTGTAAATAAGCCAATTAGAGGAAAATTATGTGTAACATTAATTCTAATTACAACAACAACAAAAATTTTCATAGATAGGTGAAATCAATTGTAAGCTCTGGTAGTTAAAGATTAACTTAGAAGCAGGAGCCTTATTTGAGTTTTGAGGGATGACTAATAATTTGATAAATGGAGGAAAAGTGGAAAATGAGATGTCCTTGCGCACAGGACAAAAGTGAGAAGCAGTAGTCCCTTCTCCAGTGCTAAGTCCAATTTTCATATTTAGTTAACTTATGCTATACTTTGAATTGTGCCCTCCACTGCCAAATTCATATGTTGAAGTCCCAACCAACAATGTGACAGTATTTGGAGTTTCACTCTTTGGGAAATAATTAAGTTTAGATGATGTTATGAGGGTGGGGCCCTCATGATGAGATTAGTATCCCTGTAAAAGATACCAGAGAGCTTACTCTCTTTTCTTGTCACCATGTGAGGACATAGTGAGAAAACAAGTCAGGAAGAAAGCCTTCAGCAGAACTCAACACAGCTGGCACCCTGAACTCAGACTTCTGGCTTGCAAAATTGTGAGAAAATAAATTTCTGTTGTTTAAGCTACCCAGTTTAAGGTATTTTGTTATGGAAAAACTAGCTGACTAGTAGAACATAGATATACAATCATTACTGGCTCCACAGAGCAGCATCTGTTTTAGAACCTACCCAAACACTGAATGGCAACAGTAGCCAACCAATGCATTTGATTTTTTACTTCTGAGTGAAAAAATCAGAGACCAGGAAATCCCATCTTAGCTTAGCTTAGCTTGGCTTAACGAATAAGCAGCCCATACTATACTTGATGTATTATCCTCATACCTCTCAATGCCATATGCACACACACACACACACACACACACACACACACACACACAAAATTTTCTTCATTAGAAAATTTTTTGGACTATGGAACTTTGGGCTCAGATTCATTAATGTCTTTAGTTTTTTTAAAAGATAAATTCAATTCTCATTTTGATTTTCAAAATCCTTATGATTTCCTCCTCAAAAATATGTTCAGTTTTAGGACTATGACTCTATTTTAGGACTACAACAATAATACAAAACTTATCTTACATATATCTATAAATTACAGAGAAGGGTATTGTTTCTGAGATATCTGTAGTCTTTTTCCCAGCCCCACTCACATTTGGGTTGAAAACGTGACTAGCTTTGGCCTGTTGGCTATGAGCAAAATGACATGCATGTAACTTACGGAGTATGGCAATTAAAAGCTCGTGTGCTTCCTCCATCTCTCTTTCACAGTGTAATGAACCTGAAAAGAAACGTGTTTCAGATGGCATAACCACATATGGAGAAGGGACGCTTAACCTGCATTTAAACTTTACCTGAAAGAGAAATAAGTTTATTGCATTAAGCCATTAATAATCTTGGGTTTGTTTGTTATAGCAGTTAACAGTATTTACCTTATCTTTTACAACATCTATATTCAAGATTCATGTACAATCTGGAGTTTCTGCCTCCCCATCTCTCTGCCTCTAGGAAGCCTACTTATTCTTCAGTGTCCAAAACTAATCTCACATGTCTTAGATGTCTTCCTAATCTTGTTACATCAGATGGGAGAACTACTCTGTTTTCCTTTTCATAGTCCATTGCATTTTCTGTCTGCAACACTTACAGTTGACCCTTGAACAGTGTGGGTGTTAAGGGTACTGACAACCCATGCGGTTTGACTTCTCCAAAACTTAACTATTAATAGTCTGCAGTTGATCAGAAGCCTTACCAGTAATATAAACAGTTGATTAATACATATTGTGTATTTTTTATGTATTATATACTGTATTCTTACAATAAAGTAAGCTAGAGAAAAAAATGTTAGTAAGAAAATCATAAAAAATATATTTACTATTCATTAAATGGAAGTGGATTATCATAAAGGTCTTTGTCCTCATAATCTTCATGTTGAGTAGGCTGAGAAGGGGGAGAAAGAGAAGGTCTTGGTCCTACTGTCTTAGATGTGGTAGAGGCAGAAGAAAATCTGTGCATAGGTGGACCTGTGAAGTCCAAATCCATGTTGTTCCAGGCTCTACTGTGCTTGACATTTACCATCAATATCCCAGATTATGGTTGGTAATATTTACTTCTTTGAATGTGTATGCTTCCTTTTCCCTCATATGTTGCAGACAGATATTTTTACTCAGATAATTTTTTAAATGGCATTTTTTCCTAAAGTTATCTTTAATGTATCTTCAGTCTCCCAGTTCAAGTAATTGAAATTGATGCAAGAAAATAGGCTAAATGGTTATAAATAACAATAGCCATTGCTTTTCCTTTGCGTGATTAAGTGGAAATTTAAATAATAATCTAGTTATAATATCTAGGGAAAATTATTAATTATTCATAGTTGTACTCAAGATTAGAAAAATAAACAATACATCTCATTAATCATGGATATTTAAGTATTTGGCTAGCCATCTCTCATTCACCATTGTAAATGTGAAGACGTTTTGCCTGCAAACAGTCTGCTTGGGGTTGTGGTGACCATAAAATAACTTCCAAAATTACCTCTAAATATCTTCACCTCAAAACTTATTCTGTAATTATTCCACAGGCACTGCTAAAGGCTTTGTAAAGAACAGGATTACCCAGAAACCTAGGGCAAGTTTGTTTTTTAAGTTACAGAGGTATTATAATGACACATTAATAGTTTTAAAATTACTGACATTAAAGTGAGTTATTTGCCCTAGATTCAAATAATGGGGATATTAAATCCCTTTAAGCATAATAGTTTCTATTTATGAGATCAGTGTGTTTCCTCTGTCTAATCTGTGTTTTTTAAGCTTGAGATGATCAATTTTATTAAATCTTCTCTTTTGAATAGATCAAAATCCTTTTACTTGACCCAAAAGGGAACCTCTCTATCTTGTCCTGCATATAGGTGGCCATTTGAAAGGGAAGAGGGTTGCTTCTTTCCAGATCTGTGATTTCACCTCTGAATTGTAAGCTTCTGAGTATCAAATAATGTTTTACTCATACTCACTACATTTTGTTTTCTGCTATAAGGAAGCAGAAAGAACACCCAAGGAATTCTGTGATAGCCTTTCCAAGGTGATTTGGTCTAATGCTGACCAACAAGGAGGTTCACCGGAGAATATTAGAAGACATGAATCATTTTCCAAACTGAATTGTAGAAACCGAGTTAACAGGAGGCTTACCTTGTTTTATTCCCTTGCTCTGAAAGGTCAAAATATATTTGAAGTGCACTAGGGGAGTGAGCTCTGCAAAGAGATCCCGAGCTAATGCTTTCATAGAGTGGATAATCACTATCATTTCTAAATGGGAATTTTGTAAACTGGCTTCTCAGAAAGCAAGGACTGTCTGGAGTGCATTGCCAAGAACTTTGGAGCAATTGCAATTCTTTCTGGTACATATTCTATCATGCATGTGCAGTTTTAAAATACATCAAACCTTAACATTCAAAAAATGAAAAAAAAAAACAGTTCTTCCAGCTCATTCCCATTTATGCTCTCTTATTTCATGTCCAATTCCTGAAAGCTTGCTCTTCTTACTACCATTCTCTCTATTCCCAGTCTCCTTTCTTCTTTTGCTCTAACCTCCCCTTAGGACATTAAAAAAAAAGAAAAAAAAAAGAATGTGTGAAAATATAAGTACAATGAATTGTGAGAAAATATGCTTTGGTTTATGGTATGGTAAAGGAATTGGGATTTAAGGTAGTAAATTACATTCATTATGCTAAGATATTCAAATCATTATTAAAAAGATAATGTCATTTTAGATAAAAAATGACATTTTAAAATTTAATTATTTTAGAAGTCAGCTCATTATTATTTAGAAAAAAACAATATATCAACACCAATAAATGAATACATTTCCTTTTATAATTTCCAGGCCTAAGAATTATTATCATTATCCAGCCAAAAAAAATGGTCAGGATGTTTTCATAATTGTTATTCAAGATTGAGAAGAATTTTGATATTCTGAATCAATTACAGGGATTTTTAACCAAAATGTTGGGTCCTAGTCATGAACCCTAGTGTTAGTTTTGCCATGAGACTCTTAAATATATTTCCATTTAATTGGATATTATTTTTAAATGAGCTACTGATTATTCTCAGATAATGTTCTTAATCTGTTGTAATTATTTAGTAGAAGTAAACGGATCTCAGCTTCTTTGTCTCTGTGGCTTCTGTGAATTGATTCCGAGCAACATTTTTGGTTCAGTCTACCTAAATCTGTAAATCTGTGTTATCTCACTCTCCCAGGGCATTATAATTTTTTCCCTTGAAAGAGAGAAGTATTTTGAACTGAATGGTTGTCTTTACTTTTAGAATGTCAGCAAAGCTGTTGCAAAGACATTGAATCACTTCTCTATGCTTTTCAGTTTTTAATTGGACAAACTCAATGATGTGCCAGTTAATGAATAGCTCATATTGCTGCAGCTACCAGAGGACCCAAAGCCTCAATATAAAAAATATCTCATCTCCTATCTTGTAATATTTGTTTTATCACCAAGCACTCATCCTTCCATGGCAGCATGGAAGGATGGGATATGTTTCTGTGGCAAATTGATCACAAAATTTATCATACATACTGGGATACTTTTGTGAGTTAAAGAGGGAATTATTAATAATCATTACAGAAAGAAAACTGGTGGAAACTGGGATTATTAAGGTAACCAAGCCATAGGCTACGTTAACTTTGGGGAAAAGCCTCTCTTTCATTGTCCTTTATTTTCTGGTCTCTAATCTCTAGCAATGCCCTGGTCTGTTTCTTTCTACCTTAGTTCTTGTGCTTTCTCTTTGATTAAAGTAGACTCAGTTATATCCCCTTTCTACTACTCTAATGAAAGTGAACAGTTGAGGCTGTCCAATCTTTTCCATTAGCTTATTTATCCAGTTAAATATTCAAAGCATAAGCACTTGTTTTTGTCAGTAATTGCTGATTTAATTGCTGAATAAGTTCCATCCTGCCTTAAAACACCCTTGATACAGATAAATAAGAAAACATAATTCCATGAGATAAATGAGAAGAGAGGTAAAAATAATATACTATGGAAACAGAGAGGAAAACATCTAATCTCAATTGTAGTCTAAGGACGGCTTCCTAGAGAAAACAACTTCTATGTAATTAAAGATGAATAAGAACTGACCAGAAAAATGACATTCTAAATATTGGCAACAAATATTTTGTACACAAGTTTTAAAGTTTCTAATGCTGGAGACACCAAAGCTGTATTTTACAATTTGTTCCAGTGATTGTGTGAGTTTCAGTTAAGAAAATGTTTCTAATATTCAACTGAATTTTTTCCTGATATGAAGTAGTAGCTCTAACATATTAAAATAATAGCCCTTTTGGTTAATGTTAAGGAATCAAAGTTGACCAAGTTACAGCTTACAACTTTTAGGTAAAAGGCTGATGAAAATGATTTGAATATATTCTCCTAAATTGTAAGCCATGGATTTCCAAGTAAATGCAAAGTACTAAAATATAAAGAAACAAATAGAAACAAAATTTTAAAAGGACAAAAAAGTATCTACTTTTGTTTTCACAAGGATGATGATGATGATGTTTATAATTATAGTGATAATGATTGAGTCAGTTAATCCGTGTATCTGTGGTGTTTAAGTATGATGGTTCTGAAGACAGGCTGTTGGGGTTTGAAACCTAACTCTACTTTTTACTAGCTCTGTGACTTTTCTCAAGTTAATTAAAGCCTGTATGCCTCAGTTTCCTTATCTGTAAAGTGAAGAATAAGCATACTTTCTTTACGTGATAATGGTGAAGATTAAATGAGTTAATACCTTAAAGTCTTAGGAACTGTGACTATCACATATTAAGTATTAAAAAATTCAACACTATTATGAGGAGTAATATGAAATTATTTAATGACGTGCTATGCTAGCTGAACTTCAGTGTTCATCATTTATTAGTGATACATATGGTTGGAATATGCCTGATGTTGAATTTTCTTATAACCACACTCTAAGATAAGAAGTTAAGTACAAATGTTTTATTTGGAGATGATCAAGGAAGCACAGGTGTTAGATAAAGTAATACAGCGATTGGAAAAAGGCCAATAACCTGTGTTAATGAGTATTTATCACTCTCAGCTCAGTCCTGCTTGGGATCCTCTGGGAATCAAAGCAGAATATATCTCAAAATTGCCACCCACACCCACCCATAACTGGAAGGCTGGGACATTTGTCCACTAACTTTTACTCCACTGTGGTTTAAGGTTGCCTCTAGGAGCATTATCCCTCCCTTCATTTCTACAATGCTAGTGATCAACTTTTTTGAATTGAACTTAACTGGAGTCAGTAAAAAGCTCGTCCAATTTATCCAGAATGCCTGAGAAATTGAAATTTTTTTTCATACTATAAAGAAGTTACATAAAGAACATTTGAAACACAAGCAATTCCAAATATGTATTTTGACCAAATTACTTTGCCCATGAAGCAGCTCCACATAGGTACAATATTGAGTGTGTACATAGAAAATGTTAGTAATCACTAGTGCTAAAGAAGAGAACAGATATGGAGATAGTCGTTCTGCAGTAATATCATACTTTTTTTTTCTAAAATGTATAAGGCTGCGTAATCCTTTGTCTCCAACAAACACTAAAACTCTTTTAAAGTACTGGCTATTTTTATTTGGCCTCATCCATTTATGTTTTTGGTTTGTTTGTTTCATCTTCTCTAATAGATCATAAGCTACTTTAGTGAAAAAACGAGGTTTCTTTCACTATGTCATGGTAGAACTTAGCAAGTGCCTAGCAAGCTGTGTTTAAGTCAGTGAGTAAAGAAGGATGGAAATAGCATGGAATGCAAATAAAAAAACTAGCATTTAAAAATAATACTTTACATTTATTGAGTGCTTTATATATGTTATATATTTTATTTTTATCTTATAATTTCATCATATTAATCTTAGGTAAGCATTATTAGCTCTATTTTATAGGTGAGATAATTGAGGCTTGAAATGGGTAATGTGCTCAAGTTTTCATAGCTAGAAAATATCAAAGCCTACACTTTAAAATGTATATTTTTAAAAAATCCAAACTATATATAATACTTCATGTTGTCTTACACAAAAGGAAGGAATGGGGGAAAACAAAAGAAGGGTAAAGCAGGGAATTAAGCAAGTAAAAGAAGGAAGAAAACAGGAAAGAGGAATGGAAGGAAAGACAGAAGAAGGCAGGGATTAAATGTTTGTTCTTACGTGAGTAGCTATCATATTCTTTATTGATGCTGATATGGTTTGGCTGTGTCCCCTCCCAAATCTCATCTTGAATTGTAACTCCCACAATTCCCACATGTTGTGAGAGGAACCTAGTGGGAGGTGATTTAATTATGGGGGCAGGTCTTTCCTATGTTGTTCTTGTGATAGAGAATGAGTCTCATAAGTTCTGATGATATTAAAAACGAGAGCACAAGCTCTCTTTTTTCACCTGCCGCCAACCATGTCATATGTGATTTACTCCTTCTTGCCTTCCACTGTGATTTTGAGACCTCCTCAGTGAAGAAGAACTGTGATTCCAATTAAACCTCTTTCTTTTGTATATTGTCAGTCTCAGGTTTGTCTTTGTCAGTAGTGTGAAAATGGACTAATGGTTCCAATAGAGTGGGGCGTTGCTGAAAAGATACCCAAAAATGTGGAAGAGACTTTGGAACTGGATAACAGGCAGAGGTTGGAACAGTTTGGAGGGCTCAAAAAAAGATAGGAAAATGTAGGAACATTTAGAACGTTCTTGAGACTTAATGAATGGCTTTGCCCAAAATGCTGATAGTGATATGGAAAAGAAAGTCCAGGCTGAGGTGGTCTCAGATGGAAATGAGAACTTGTTGGGAATTGGAGCAAAGGTGACTCTTGTTATGTTTTAGCAAAGAGACTGGCAGCATTTTGCCCCTGCTCTAGAGATTTGTGGAACTTCGAACTTGAGGGAGATGATTTAGGGTATCTAGTGGAAGAAATTTCTAAGCAGCAAAGCGTTCAAGAGGTGACCTGGGTGCTGTTAAAGGCATTCAGTTTTATAAGGGAAGGAGAGCATAAAAGTTTGGAAAATTTGCAGCCTGGCAATGTGACAGAAAAGAAAATCTCATTTTCTAAGGAGAAATTCAAGCCCACTGAAGAAATCTGCATAACTAATGAGGAGACAAATGTTAATCCCCAAGACAATGGGCAAAGTATCTCCAGGTCATGTCAGAGGTCTTCACAGCAGCCCCTCCCATCATAGGCCCAACGCCTATGAGGAAAAAGTGGTTTTGTGGGCTGTTCCCAGGATCCTTGTGCTGTGTACAGTGTGGGACTTGGTGCCCTGCATCACAGCACCTCTACTCATGGGTGAAAGGGGCCAAAAAAGAGCTTGGGCTGTGGCTTCAGAGGGTGCAAGCCTCAAGCCTTGGCAGCTTCCATGTGGTGTTGAGCCTGCAAGATGTCAAAAATTGGGGTTTGGGGATCTCTGCCTAGATTTCAGAGAATGTATGGAAATGCCTGTACATCCAGGCAGAAATTTGATGCAGGGGTAGGGCCCTCATCGATAACCTCTGCTAGGGCAGTGTGGAAGGGAAATATGTGGTCCCCAAAGAGAGTCCCTACTGGGGCACTGCCTAGTGGAGCTGTGAGAAGAGGGCCACAATCCTCCAGATGCCAGAATGGTAGACCAACTGAGAGCTTGCACCATGAGCCTGGAAAAGCCATGGACACTCAATGTCAGCCCGTTAAAGCAGCTGGGAGGGAGACCCTACCCTGCAAAGCCACAGGGGTGGAGAGGCCCAAGACCATGGGAACCCACCTCTTGCATCAGCATGACCTGGATGTGAGATATAGAGTCTAGGGAGATCCTTTTGAAGCTTTAAGGTTTGACTGCCCCACTGGATTTTGAACTTGCATGGGGCCTGTAGCCCCTTTATTTTGGCCAATTTCTTCCATTTTGTACAGCTGTATTTACCCAGTGCTTATAACCCTATTGTATCTAGGAAGCAACTAACTTGCTTTTGATTTTACAGGTTTATAGGTGGAAGGGACTTGCTTTGTCTCAGATGATGTTGGACTATGGACTTTTGAGTTAATGCTGAAATGAGTTAAGCCTTTGGGGGACTGTCGGGAATGCATGCTTGGTTTTGAAATGTGAGGACATGAGATTTGGGAGGCGCCAGGGCTAATTGATCTGGCTTGCCTGTGTTCCCTCCCAAATCTTATCTTGAATTGTAACTCCCACAATTCCTACATGTTGTGGGAGGAACCTGGCAGGAGATGATTGAATTAGGGGGGTGGGTCTTTCCTGTGCTGTTTTCATGATAGTGAATGAGTCTTACGAGATCTGATAGTTTTAAAAGCAAGAGTTTCTCTGCACAAGCTCTTTTTTTGCCTGCAGCCATCCATGCAAGATGTGACTTGCCCCTCATTGCCTTCTACCATGATTGTGAAGCCTTCCCAGCCACATGGAACTGTGAATGGTGGTTTTTGCATATGAAATTAAAATGTCTCAGAAGAAATCATACAGAAATGGGAGAGGCAGTTTCCCAAAACACTGTCTTGGTGTTTTTTAGTTTAGAGGAGTTTTGTGACATATCTCTGGGATAGAGTATGATTTCCATATTTAACATAATTAAAATTAGGATACATGGTCAATTAATTGGGCAAGGATCATGACATTGGGAAAAAATAAACTACATCAATCAAGGGATCAAAATAAAAATAATTTCAGATTTTTGTTTTTCTAATAGATCAGCTCCGGGATCGTTTTGGTACATTTCTGCTCAAAAAGGGGAAGACATATTTCCAAGTACTCAATTCTTTTCTAGAGTCTAAACCTGCACGTTTCAGTTTTCTGTCTTAGTATGATTTATTGCTTTCATTTTCAACTCAAATTTTAGGATTTTCAGGAAAGGATCTTCAGCAAGACCTTCATTTGGTATTTGTTTTCCTCCAAACCTCATTATGGGTTGAGGATATTTGCTTTATCAGAGAGATAAAGTGAAGCCAATGTTTTTCAGAGTCGATAACAGTGTCAGATGTCATCACATCTTTAGTACTCCATGATAAGTGCACATGTCCACTGCTTGAGATAATTTTGAGAGTTTAAGACCTTTACTTTTTAAAAATTGTTCTGACTTAGGGGTCAGATTCTTGTAGAGTCTGGATATATTTGGAAATAATTATTTGGAAATTGGGTTCTCTTTATAATGAAGAGCAGGCATTAAGAGAAGTTTTCTACTGACTCTTATAGTCATTACTGCTTAAAACCACTACATGAATTCTTAGTTGAGAGAAAGGAAAACAAAAGTAAAAAGAAGAGGCAGAGAAATAGACAATATACAGGTATAGATAATATGACTTTTTATAGATAGCTTCACTATCTTCCAAAAAGGCAAAAATGGCTTTATGGGTATAACTTCACTCACTGAGAAAAAAAAAAAAAAGACCAAAATTTCCCAAAATGTTCATGAATACAGCTCTCTCTCCTTTGATATTACCACAAATCTTTTCTTTGAATAATGATACAGGGTATCTGGATGAGGCTTTCTCAGTATTTATGTAAGTTCTTTACATCCATTCATTTTATAAACATTTATTGGGTACCTACTAGAGACCAAAGAATGAAGGCAAAGTATACTCACCATCCTATAAGGTCCATAAATCTGTACCTGTACTTTGATCTGGAAAATGGGTATTAAAAGTTCTGAAACTTTCTTTTTTTTTTTTTTTTGAGACGGAGTCTCTATCTGTTGCCCAGGCTGGAATGCAGTGGTGCGGTCTCTACTCAGTGCAAGCTCTGCCTCCCAGGTTCACGCCATTCTCCTGCCTCAGCCTCCCAAATAGCTGGGACTGCAGGCGCCCGCCACCAAGTGATCGATGAATGAGGTTCAGATGATTACTTATATGTTTACTTGTCTGACCTCGCTTTCATAATTTTTAATAGAGATGTTTCATGGATTTTCTCCCATTCATTCCAAGGAATATCCCTCTCTACAGCCACTGTAGCTGCAACTATGGGTGATGAAGATGCTTTAAGTTTATCTTCATCTGCATATAGTCTGTAAGCACTTGATTCCTCTCAGTCTTAGTAGTGTTCATAACATGGGAGCTATAGAACTCTAAGACAATAATTAATCATTATTCCCTATGAGCTTTCTTGGAATCTTATTGAGGTGAGTCAATGGCATGAACAGAAAAGAAAGCAACAAGAATTTAAAAACTTAAAATATAATGCAAAAACTGAGGACAAAATTTTCTCTGCTGTTAGCCTTAGTAAGAACACTGATGTGAAAATGGCGTAGTAAAAAAGTGAGTGTTTGATGGCAATAGAGAAAAGGACCATTTTTACTACTTAACACTTGTAAAGTTATTGCAGTGCCACCAGGCACAAACTATACAAGAAATGGCTTCCTGAGAGATTATTTAAAGGCATATATTGTTGAGACTTAACAGAAAGAACAATATTTTAAATCTCTTCTTCACCTGCGCACGAAGAAAAAAAATCAAAGCTAATATATAAAAGCAACATGAATTAGATCCATGTTCTATGTATCCTTGTGCACTTAATATCTTAATAAGTTTCATGTCAGTGTTTTTTAGTGCTATTTTACAAATATTTTTCCAATTATCTACTTAATAAAAAAAAAGTCAGGAAAACTACAAACACACAAAGAATTAAACACGATGTATTTGTGTTATACAAGTTACATCTAAGAACAGTATCATTAAAGAAGCTCTCATACCAATTTAAAATGGGATAAACTTCTCATTTGACAGGAAAAAGCCATATATTAATTTCAAGAAGAAAAGAATTCAAAAAAATCATATTAAAGTTTATACTTCATAAATTTTGTTAGTTGACTGAGGAAAATAATTTCTGAGAGAATAGACTTTTGATTGGACAGAAGAACAATCTTAATGAAAATAAAGAGCATAAATTAAGTGATAAATGCTGGATCAGTAGCTAAAATGAATGATAAAATTGGAGATGTTTATACAAGTTATAGAACATGAACTCTGGAAGCAGGCTTTGTTGATTTCAATATCAATTTTTCTAACTATGAGGTGTATGACTTTAGGCAAGTTACTAAATCTATTCACCTCATTGTTCCACCTGTAAAACAAGAAAACAATAACAGTATGGATTTTATATGGTGGTACTTAGGCACTTAGAATAGTGGTTAGCATAAAGCAAGATCTAAATAAGTGGTAGTTCCTTTCGCTGCTGTTATTTTCAAAGAAGTGTGTTCAGAGTGGGCAACTAAGACAGATGCTGGAAGATGACTGGGAAATGGAAGAGTGAATGTAATAAAAGTGGAAATCAATTAAATATTTGCCTATCTCATAAGTAAGTGAAAAAAATCCATTGGCAAATTCAGGTCATTTGTCACACACACACTCACACTTCTGCATAAATCAGTACATGTTTAAAACATGAGAAAAAAATAGAGGTATATTTTAAAAGTATATAGAATTATTTTAAGAAGTCAAAACAAATTTTTTAAAAAAGGAAAATTTGAAATAAAGCTAAAAACATCTAAAATATGCAAAATATGTATGTTTTATAATATGTAGATATGCATGAAAATTTAATTCTCTATTGACTTTGATAAAGTACTTGTGTTTAAGGTACAAGATAGTTGCTGCTACTTATTTTATTTTTCACTATCCTATCCTTTGTTGTTATCTTACTAAAAATGTAAGACTCAGACAAGTCATTTTCAGACCCTTGCTCAAAATCACTCAAAAGAACGTTTTCTCTTCCTTCCTTAAACAAAAACATTTGACAAATCTTGTTACCAGAACAAATGTTCAGAGAGGGAATGAGGAGAAAGTCAGTGGAGCAGGGGGTGGTGGGTAAGAGTATTGAGAGGCAAACAGAGGTGACTTTAAACAAATTTAGACTAAATCTGCACATAATACAATAGAAACATTTTCAATCCCTAGGAAGATTGCAAATGAATCCAAAACAGCGGACAATGAAAACAGCTTTGGAGTTAACAATGCATTGGGTAAAATAAATACTCATGCTATCAATCAAAGGGCAACAGAAAAAAAAATTACTTTTTTAAAAAAATTTTATTATTATTATACTTTAATTTTTAGGGTACATGTGCACAACGTGCAGGTTAGTTACATATGTATACATGTGCCATATTGGTGTGCTGCACCCATTAACTCGTCATTTAGCATTAGGTATATCTCCTAATGCTATCCCTCCCCCGTCCCTCCACCCCACAACAGTCCCCGGTGTGTGATGTTCCCCTTCCTGTGTCCCTGTTTGTTGGTGGGACTGTAAACTAGTTCAATCATTGTGGAAGTCAGTGTGTCGATTCCTCAGGGATCTAGAACTAGAAATACCATTTGACCCAGCCATCCCATTACTGGGTATATACCCAAAGGATTATAAATCATGCTGCTATAAAGACACATGCACACGTATGTTTATTGCGGCACTATTCAAAATAGCAAAGACTTGGAACCAACGCAAATGTCCAACAATGATAGACTGGATTAAGAAAATGTGGCACATATACACCATGGAATACTATGCAGCCATAAAAGATGAGTTCATGTCCTTTGTAGGGACATGGATGAAGCTGGAAACCATCATTCTCAGCAAACTATTGCAAGGACAAAAAACCAAACACCGCATGTTCTCACTCATAGGTGGGAAATGAGCAATGAGAAAAATTTCTGTAAGCAAATGAAACTTTGCTTGAAATGAAAGCTTTTCAAGGTAATTAACATGAAATTAAAATGCTCTAAACAAGAGCAAGGCCTTTACCATTTCTGAAAAGTTAAATAAAGAGGTGTTTAAACAAGTACTTAATTTGAGATTTCATTTCTGTTTAGTATGATCTTTGTTGGAAGCATTTAAAATAGCATCTCATGGAGAAAGAGAGCCTTACGTGAGTGCTGTATTGAGCTATAAAATGGGAGGAAGGCGCAGGAAATGGTACACTCATAGCTAGAAATGTGGTGCTGTGGTACTTTCATGTATGAATGGACAAGTTCTGTTACATTCCTTGTAAAATATTGTTGACTTCTGGTTTTACTGTTATCATAAGCTCACCTACATATATTCTTAATGGTTATTTAATGGACATTTAACTAATTGTTTTAACTAATTGTTATTTAATTGTTGTTTCTAGAAATTGTGTGTGTGTGTGTGTGTGTGTGTGTGTGTGTGTGGAATTTCAGGTGGGTCTTCTATTCCGAATCTAAAGGAAACATGTTTGCTATTTGTCACACAAAAAAAAGAAAAAAAACTGTGAAAAACATATGCATTTGAAAATTTGGGACTGTAGTGCTCCTAAAAAAAGCCAAATGATGAATGTGATGTCTTAACAGCACGTCCAAGGTGAAATGACCAAAGACAGCTTAATTAAAATTCACGGAAAAAGATAAACAAAAGACTTGCTTAAAAATAAATAATAATAAAAACAAAAGTTTTTTAAACTGTCACTTAACATAGACCAGTAGTTAGACTAATAAAGAAGAAAAGAGAGAAGATTCAAATAAACACTTTCAGAAATGATAAGAAGGATACTATCACTGATCCCACAAAAATACAAACAAGCATCAGCGAATATTATAAACACCTTTATGCAAATAAACTAGAAAATCTAGAAAGAAATGGATAAATTCCTGGACATATACATCCTCCCAAGATTGAACCAGGAGGAAGTTGAATCCCTGAATAGACCAATAACAAGTTCTGAAATGGAGGCAGTAATAAATAGTAAAGGTCTAATTCCAGAATCTATAATGAACTTAAACAAATTTACAACAACAACAAAAAAACCAACCACATTAAAAAGTAGGCAAAGCACATGAACAGACACTACTCAAAAGAAGGCATATATGTGGCCAACAAACATAAGAAAAAAGCTCAACATCACTAATCATTAGAGAAATGTAAATGAAAGCGACAATGAGATACCATCTCACATCAGTCAGAATGGCTACTATTAAGAAGTTAAGAAATAACAGATGCTGGTGAGGTTGTGGAGAAATAGGAACACTTTTATACCATTGGTGGAAATGTAAGTAAATTAGTTTGACCATTGTGGAAGACAGTGTGGTGATTCCTCAAAGATTTATTACCAGAAATATCATTTGACCCAGCAATCCCATTACTGGGTATATATCCAAAGGAATATAAATCATTCTGTTATAAAGATATACACACATGTGTGTTCATTGCAGCACAATTCACAATGGCAAAGACATGGAATCAACCCAAATGCCCATTAACAATAGACTGGATTTAAAAATATGGCACATGTACACTATGGAATACTATGCAGCCATAAAAAGAAATGAGATCATGTCCTTTGCAGGTACATGGATTAAGCTGGAAGCCATTATCCTCAGCATCCTAACACAGGGTTAGAAAACCAAACACCACATGTTCTCATGTATAAGTGGGAGCTAAACAATGAGAACAACTGGACACAGAAAGGGGAAAAATATGCACTGGGTCCTGTTGGGGGAGGGCGGGATGGGAGAGAGCATCAAGAATAATAGCTAATGCATGCCAGGCTTAATACCTAGGTGATGGGTTGATAGGTGCAGCAAACCACCATGGAACAGGTTTACCTATGCAACAAACCTGAACATCCTGCACATGTACCCAAGAACTTAAAAAAAAAGTCACTTGCATACACCCCCAACCAGCTCTATAATAGAAAGTACATACATGTATTCATATACTTATATACCTATCAATCTCTCCATATACACTAATCTATCTGTCTGTCTTCTTATCCATCTACCTACCTATGTATCTACAAAATCTCTGATTTGACTCACTGGCAGGACTTCACTAGGATGTTTTGGCAAGCCAGTGAGTATAATTTGGTTGTTAAAATGTGTTGTCATGTTCCCAATTCATCAGATGGAGATATGCATTACAAAACATTTGGACACTCTATGGAGTGGAATACAGGGTAAGTACTTTCTGAATTTGGCTGATATATTTGATCAAAATATAGTACATTTTAATATAAAATACTTAAAACATACCTGTCCTATTCTTACAAAAGATTGGAGTTGGTTCAAAGTAAAAAGCAAAAATTAAAATAAATATTCATACATCAAATAAGTTGAAAAAATGAATATGAAATACAGATTATGTTCTAAATTTCTAAAATTCCTTATTAAGACCAATTTGTAAATTATGATTTTTCTCCTCCATCTTTAGCGGTTGAAAAATTGAAGAAAAAATATATTAACATTTCTTTACTGAGAAAATATTTTGTGACTACACCAATCCTCACCTATTTTAAATCCTTACTGTTAACATTGGTATGATGGAAGAGACCTCCATTATAGTGTGCTATGCTATATGTTATTTTTACTTGAATTTGGGATACAGATGATACAATAGTTAATACTTGTTTGGTGCTTATTATATGCCAGATGCTTTTATATGAAATTTGACTATTGAAATCCATATAATTCTCTCAAACAACCTGTGAAATTTACACTAGTATTTTCTTCACTTTGTAAAACCTGAGGTCCAGGGAGTTTTAGGTTATAACACTATGTGAAGAAAATATTCAAACCCTATAGAGCAGTGATATTAACCACACTACTACAGTTAGTTTGTGGATATATCATGGATTGAGATATTTATGTGAAATGTTATAACCATACATAATAGATTACAAATACAAAACAGTACTTCTTGTCACTAAATCAGGCAATTATTACTTACTGAATAAGCCTTATGCTCCCAGGTAAATATTAAGTTATGTAATGGAAGGTACCCTAATACTTATTAAAATGATGGTGCTCTGTATTACTATTATTCTATTTGTATACTTTGAACATATATTAGAAGGGAAGTTACTTCTGTTTCAACCAATGCAGAGAAAAACCTATATTAAATATTTATTTCTTGTTTTCCTATTTTAGTATCCCAGGATTATAGTTTAATCCGGAAGAAGGTTGGTCAAGTTTATATAACTTCAATACTAGATATCAGGCAATTTTCTTAGTTATCTACATAAACTATAACTCACTACAGTAATGGCAAGTTCTTTGTGAATTTCAGTCCACCTGGTAATTTGCATTTGCTTTTGTTGCTATTCTGGTTTGGCATACCACAGTGATTACAACATGCGTCCTGGGAAGCTGTGTGAGATTTGGCAAATTTGTAACTGTTATGGTTCAGTTTTCTCATCTCTTAAATGGAGATGAAAGCATGCACTCATGGGGCAGTAGGGAGGAATTAATGAAATCCTGTATGTAACACACTGTTGCTGGATAGGAGTATTTAATAAACAACTATCATTAATAATTATATTTCTATTCTTTACTTCTTTTTTGTTTATAAGCAATATTTGATATATCAGATACCTATCTTGTATTTGTAGCATTGGATTTCTCCAGAACTTGCCTCTTTCAGTCCTTGTCATTCACACTTTGAACAGGCATAAAGCATTTACTGTGTTCTAGGCTTGTGTGCGAAGTGCTTAATATACAAAACTCTCACCTGGCCATCTTTGCTTTACTGTATTTGATTTACTGGTTAAATTATGATTCAGACTAGACTGATATATTACAGAGACTCTCAGAAAAAAAGTTTTCTAGAAAATAAGAACAGGACATTAATCTTTCTTTGTTTTTTTTGAGACGGAGTCTCTGTCGCACAGGCTGGATTGCAGTGGCGATCTCAGCTCACTGAAAGCTCTGCCTCCCGGGTTCACGCCATTCTCCTGCCTCAGCCTCCCGAGTAGCTGGGACTACAGGTGCCCGCCACCACGCCTGGCGAATTTTTTGTATTTTTAGTAGAGACGGGGTTTCACCGTGTTAGCCAGGATGGTCTAGATCTCCTGACCTCGTGATCCGCCCGCCTCGACCTCCCAAAGTGCTGGGATTACAGGCGTGAGCCACCGTGCCCGGCCTCATCTTTCTTAATACATTTCATCTGAGGGGACAGTGGCAATCCATGTGACACAATACTAAGTAATAAGATAAATTTGCTAATACTCTCTTCTAGTTCTAATGATACAAATATGTAAACTATGGATTATTCTTAAATAACTTTCCCTCTATACTGTTTCTCTGTCTTGTCTGAATTAGCCAGTTTTATGGGCTTCTCAGTTCCCTCTGATTAGGTCTTTTTGTTTCCCAAATAAACATAAAATCACATGTAACAAAGCACAGGTGCAAACTATTTGAAAACTCATGAGATCTTGTTTTGATTAATTCAGTAGAAGGAAATCTCAGTAAGTGTTGAGTCTGGGAGATTCTGGCACTTGCATTTGTCACAGAAGGGAATAGCGTAACTTATGTTATAATTTGTTTTACATAAACACACCTACATGCAAACACATACACAAAGAGCCTTTTAAAGAGGAAGCTCTGGCCGGGCGCGGTGGCTCAAGCCTGTAATCCCAGCACTTTGGGAGGCCGAGGTGAAACCCCGTCTCTACTAAAAATACAAAAAAATTAGCCGGGCACAGTGGCAGGCGCCTGTAGTCCCAGCTATTCGGGAGGCTGAGGCAGGAGAATGGCGTGAACCCGGGAGGCTGAGCTTGCAGTGAGCCGAGATCGCGCCACTGCACTCCAGCCTGAGCGACAGAGCGAGACTCCCTCTCAAAAAATAAATAAATAAATAAAAATAAAAAAATAAAGAGGAAGCTCTCTAGGTTGGGTAAGATAATTATTTTAGGTGAAGGAATTAAAAGTTTTATGACCATGGTTTGTTTGACTGATATATTTGATTGCCCATCAAGTTGGATATAAATATATATTGGAATTTTAGAATTCAGAGAAATGACCATTTCATCATTCCTAAACATAAGTGTTTTCACAAGAGATGGTTGTGAAACTTCAAAATTGTGAGAGAAAAGTGTCTTTCAAGTGTGTGTATTGAGAACTACAGTCATGCAGTGCATAATCACATTTCAGTCAATGATACACTGAATATATGATAGTGGTTCCATAAGAGTATAATACCATATTTTACCCTACCTTTTCCATTGGTAGATATGTTTAGATACACAACTATCTTTGTGTTATAATTGCCTACATTATTCAATATAGAAATATGCTATACACATTATTAGCCTTGAAGGCATACCATAGGTGTATGCCTGAGTGTGTAGTAATCTATATCAGCAGTCCTCAACCTTTTTGGCACCAGGGAACAGTTTTTCTGGAAGACAATTTTTCCATGGATGGGAGGTGTGGGGAATGGTTTTGGGATGAAACTGCTTCACCTCAGATCATCAGGCGTTATTCGGATTCTCATAAAGAGCATGCAACCTAAATCCATCGCATGCACAGTTCACAACTGGGTTCCGACTCCAGTGAGAATCTAATGCTGCCACTGATCTGACAGGAGGTGGATCTCAGGTGGAAATGCTCTCTTGCAGGCGGCTCGCCTCCTGCTGTGCAGCCAAATTCGTAACAAGCCAGGGACATCTGCAGCCTGGGGATTGGGGACCCCTGGTCTACACTATCTAGATTTGTGAAAATAAACTGTATGATGAAGGCACAACAGTGATACCATCTATTAACATATTTCTCACAATGCATCCCTCTTGTTAAAGGAGGCATGATTGTGAACTTCTTTCCCATTTATTATGTGGTATAGCACACAACCACTTAAGATACTTTGAATATGTATTCCAGCCCTTCTTATCAAAGATACTCGTTTTCCTTGTAATGATTTGGATTTTAGAATTACACCTGTCTTTAATATTTTCCTATTTTTGAAGAAGAATGGACATAAAAGAGTGCAGGTGGCCAAAAGCAGAGACAAAGCTATCAGAATATAAATTTTCATCTCAGAAATAAATGAGCTAATGGCCAACATGTGAGTTTCTAGAGATCAGCTCAAAGTAAACGCTAAATATTAATAATTATTATAAAAAGTCAGGTATCAGCCAGGATCTTCCCTGTTTCTTGAAATACAAATAGAAATACATGGAATGCCCCAAATTTTATAGATTTTACATGTCCAAAACCCTTACAAAGACTTTGAGTTTCACATGTGAATACATTATTAATTTACCATGGTTGTAGGTATTTTAAGTCAATGATTATATTTACTTTTTCGCCTATATTCTCCACCATATTTAAGAACAGATAGGAAGTATTCAGTTGAGTTGCACTAATGGTAATATCTAAGTTAAAAGAATAATGTCTTGTGCATGCTAACATTTAAACCAATATTCTTTAAATTGAACTGAGTGAATTCCTAAAAATAGGAGACTTTGTTATTTGGAGAAATAAACTTAGTAAATGAATTGTAAATTAGGTATGCAAGATAAATAAATTCTAGTGATTTATTGTATGACATAGAACCTATAATTGAAAATTCTATATTGCTTACTTGATAATTTGCTAAGGGGGTAAATTTTATGTTAAGGATTTACACTGTGAAAGTAAAAACAAAACAAACAGACAAGCAAAACCAAAGGAGTTGGAGAGAACCTTTTAGCAGTGATGGATACGTTTATAGCATTGAATGTGATGATGGCTTAACAAATGTATATTTATCGCCAAGCACATCAAGTTGTATACACTAAATACCTACATCATTTTGTATTTCAATCATACCTCAATAAAGCAGTTTAAAAATTATTGATATATTACTATTGCTATAAACTAAGAATAATTAACATAAGAAAAACAAACACACAAATTTAACTTTGGTTTTGTATTTAATGTAAATCATATGAGAAATATCATGGAGTGTCTGGTAAGTTTGACTTACTCATCTAAGTAATTAGAAAGTAGTAAAGTTTCAGGTTTTTAATGTCTAAGTACAGACAGCCAAGAAAGAAAGGTAAAACACAGAAGAATAGTTGAAGTTTAAAAAGGCAATTGGAAAACCTAAAATCTTCCACAGCATGCAAGGCAAATAAAATTGTTTCTTGATCTTAACGCGAAGAGAAAATAACCAATATCTCCTATATTGGTCTGTGTACTACTCTGAATTATCTTCTGACATCAATAGGTAGTATATCTTTATTTTTATTTCGGGCAGTGTGAGCACAAAGCATTGAGGCAGGTGGCCTTGTGGTCAGGATATTGACATCTCAGATTCTGAACTCCATTCCTATCCTGTCTTATTTATGTTGGAAAAGAATTACTTCAGTTAAGGGAGAGAAAAATGATACAATACTAAACTTATTAACTTGATATATAGGAGAGCGAAAAAACATAGCCAGTGAACTCCAGATCATCTGATCTTAGACAAGAACCAGAGGAAAAGGTGTCTTCTGGGTCAGCCTGCCTCAATACTGTGATATACTTTGAGAGTTTACTTTTGCATTTCTTAACTCTATTCCTGTCACTTTAGATGAGAATGTTTTGAACCTACCATCTGCATGTTGTAGGTAACATGTACTTCAGTAAATTCAATAAAATGTCACACTGGTGTATTTCTGACTCTGTCAGCAACCAAAATAAGCTATTTTTCTCTTTAAATGTGTTTCAGTTTCTCCAGTGGTGAAATATATGAGCTTGCTTCTTGCCAGCTGAGAAAGATGTTGTGAGTATAGAACATTTTGCTAAAGGTCAGAGAGTGGCTGAAATTTATGTAGTTTGAATTTCAAAAATTTAGAAGAAATATATTTTAATTGGATCAAATTTGTTATGGTACTAGTAAATCCATTTCGGATCCTTTATTGACATGTTAATATAGTGACTTGTGTAATGTAACAGAAAAGAATAACATGGACAGGTTAACTTCAAAATCATTCCAGGATAAAAATAAAAGGTTTACTTATGACTGTTTATCTGTAGATCACATACTTAATTTCTTCTGCTGCTTCTGCTTTTACTTCATCGTCATCATCACAAAATTCAGCATTTACTAAAGTGAAAGCACTGAATAAAAAAGAAATTATAACTTGAGAGAATCTGTCATATAATGATGTGCATAACATTCATCCATTCACGTTTTTGTATTTTATTGTAGTCCACTGCCAGGAGAATCTTTGGATTTGGGTTTGATTGGTACATTAGGGAGAATAATAGCTCTCAAATCTTGACTCCCTGGAACTGATGAATATGTTACCTTATATGGCAAAAGGGGTTTGCAGATATGATTATGTTAAGGACTTTGAAAGGGGAAAATATTCCTGAATTAACTGGGTAGGCCCAGTGTAATAACAAGGGTCCTTATAAAGGAACGAGGGAGATAGAGGGGTCAAAGATGTGACTACAAAAGAAGTGGTTGGTTGGAGTGATACGACTGCTAGATGTGAGCCATGAACCAAGGAATGTGGGCAGCTTCTAGAAGATGGAAAAGGAAAGAAATGATTTCTCTCCTAGAGCCTCTAGAGGAAAGCAGCCTTGCCAGCACCTTGATTTGAGCCCTATAATATTCATTTCCCACTTTTGACCTCCAAAGCAATAAGAAAATAAATTTGTGCTGTTTTAAAATATGGAATTTGTGGTAATTTATTTTTCAGCAGCAATAAGAATCTAACACAATTGATGATTAATTTTGAGTTCTAGGAGAAGATCACATATTACTGTTAGTAAAAAATTATGTAACTCACATGAGAGTGTATATATAATCGATAAACAGTATAGCAGGAGGAATCTTTTTTCCTCTTGTAGAGAAAATCAAATGCCATTCATATTCTTCCCAGGAAGGAATTGTTTACCTTTTGAATCAATATATCAGTCAATTTTCCCTACTCTTTAAAACTTTTTTCTCACTTTTATAGCATGCAACAGAGGTCAGGCTGCTTTCAGAAACAGCAATAGGTGTATTAAAGATGGCAGTTAGCAGAAAGCTTATTAACATGGAGCAAGAAATCATTCTCAAATATACACTTAGTGACAGACATTTCAGAATCCTACTGGGGGATTAGGACCATGAAATAAACTTAGTGGTTCTGGAATATGTGTTTAATATCTGAGTTTTGAGAAACAGATAGAAACTCTAATTCATATAGTCCTTTCATTAAAAAAATTATTTTCACTGCTGATTGTAGTGGACCAGGGAGAGAGTGAGCCACTAAAGCAATCAGAATAACTTACACAAGCAAAGAAGAAGAGATATCACATCTGATAGAACTCAGAAAATAGTCTCTCTCGCACATGATTTAAAATTTTTACCATTTTCTTCATTGTGAAGAATCAGAATTTAAAACCAGTGTTGTTATTTATTTACCATCTACATCAGTGTGGGCTCTGGGATTCCTATTTTATTCCATGGGTCTTAATCCTTTACTATAATTATTTTGATATTGAAATTATCCCAGACTTGGAACAGGCCAAATCTGCTTTTAGAAACCCACTATTTCCACAAAATAATGGCCTGGACTCTTCCAAAGCATCAACATCTTGAAAGAAAAATAATTGCAGCAACAACATTCTGTATTAAAAAAAGGATAAAGACATGGCATATGAATATAATGCCTTTGCAAGATTTTATTTTGTCATAAATAATATTATTGGGACAGATGATGATATTTGAATAAAATCTGTAAATTAGAAAATAGTGTTTTATTAATGTTAATTTTCTTGTTTTCAAAATCTTATTTTGGGAATTTGAGATAAAGGTGTTTTTTTTTGCTGTTTGTTTTAAAGAAATATGCACTAAAGTACTAAGAAAAAGAGGCACAAAGACATAAGACTGAAATGTACTTATAGGAAAACTGTACTATAGAAAAATGTTATATCTGAGTAATGTTAATATTCTGTAATTACTTATGAGATTCTTGGAACTTTTCTGTCTGAAATTTAATCAGATTAAAAATAAAAACATGTAAGTGAATATATATCATTTATAGATTTGTATACAAAAAGTAATTACAGTAACTCATGGTGTTCATACATCAAAGTAAGATTTTAACTATTAAAAGCTACTTCTTTGTGTATGGCTTAGTGTGTGTGTGTGTGTGTGTGTGTGTGTGTGTGTGTGTGTGTGCATGTGCACTTTATCGTCCATAACAGTAAAGATTATGTTCAGCTGTAAGTAATTGAAAACTCAAATAATAAAAACTAAATAAGACAGAAGAAGTTTTTTTTTCTTGCCAAAATAGAATCTGGAAGTAAGCAGTCCAGGAGTGTATGTAGTCACTGTTACCATTGGGAATAAGTGTTCCTTAAATATTTTCTCATGAGTTTTTTCCTTATGACCTAAGGTGGCTGCTCAAATTTTAGCCATGACACCACATTTGAGTCAGCATAAAAAATGAAGGAAAAACGAAGACACATATCCTGTCCCATTAAAGATAGTTCCCATAAGCAAAACAAGATACCTCTGCTTGTATCCCTTTGACTAGAACTTAGTCAGAATGCCACACTGTTTGATTAGAAGCCTGTGGCATGAAGTTTTTAAATCCTGTATGACTACGTTTACAAATAAAAATTGGGGATTTTCTAAGGAAGAATGAAGGGAAAATTAGATGTCTAGAGACAGACAAGATATCTGATATACTGCTATAAATGTTGCGGTAAACAGCCTCACAGTCTGATAGACAATTACGGACCTTACTGGAATGTTAAAAAGAATGCAGAGGTAAAATTAGGAAGCACTTAGAATTTTATTGCTTTAGCGAAGATCAAGCCTGTCTATTTTTATACTAAAATTACACTAGTGTGTAGAGTTACTAGATTTAATAAATAAAAGTACAAGAAGCCCAGTTAAATTTGAATTTCATTCAGTCACAGAAAGGAATGAAATTCTGATTCATGATACAAAATAGGTGAAAGTTATGCTAAGCAAAAGAAGCCAACACATAGGTCATATATTGCATGATCCTATTTACATAAAATATCGAGAATGGGCAAATCTGTAAAGACAGAAAGCTAGTAAGTAGTTGCCAAGGGGTGATGGTAGAGAAGACATGGGTAGTGACTGCTAATCGGTACAAAGTTTCTCTTTGGAATGATAAAAGTGTGATGGAATTAACTAGTGGAGACACTGGCACAAATTCTAAATATTATAAAAGACCACTAAATTAAACACTTTGAGAATAAATTTCATGATGTAAAATTTGTAACTATACAAATTTATAATAAAAAGTTAAACAAAACCATACAAACAGTATGCTAGCCAAATTTAGTCTGCAGGCCATACATTGCCAACCCTTGCCCTACACTAGTTGAGATCAACTTGGGAGACTTAAAAAATTGCAGATGCTGGGCCTTGCACCCTCTGATACTGATTCAGTTGGTCTAGGATGGTGTTTTTGTTTGGTGCTTCCCAGGGGATTCTAGTATGTATCCATGGCTGAGAAAAATGAATTGTCTAGAGCAGTGTTTTTTAGCTTCAGGTTTAGCCTGGATCTTTTGCAAACCATTGTTGGAAGCAGAGTACTGATCCCTCAAAGATGTTCAAATCTGAATTCCAGGAATCTGTGGACATGGTAACTTACATCAAAAAGGGACTTTGCATATGTGAATCAATTAAGTACCTAGGGATAAGAGAGTTATTCTGGATTATATGGGTAGGCTCGAGCTAAACTCACTGGGTCCTTAAAATCAGAGAGCCTTTTGTGGCTGTAGTCAGAGGAAGAGTTGAATACAAGAGGTTGAAGAGATGCAACTTGTCTGGTTTTAAGATTCAGAAAGAAGGCCATAAGCCAAGGCCTATGGATGACTTTTAGAAGGTGGAAACCTCAAGACAATAAATTATTTTCTAGAGCTTCCAGAGAGGAACATAGCCTTGCTGACACCTTGATTTTAAACTAAAAACTTCTAACTAGCAAGCAATAGGATAAATTTCTCGTTTTAAGCCAAAATAAAACTGGATTTTTTATGAACAGGTTTTTTTTTTTTTCTGTTTTTCTTTTTTTTCAGTGTAAATATGTAACATAATATTTGGGGCATATTTATACTAAATATTTACATGTTGTTTATTTGTAATTTAAATTTAGTTGAATCTCTTGTATTTTACCTGATGACACTACTGGTGTGCTTATTGAAAAAAAAATCAGCTGAAAGGTTAAAGTTCCTGGAATCTATGTTTGTAATAGATTTGTTGAATCTTATAATGGTGCACAAAAAATACGCATATAAATACTGCAAATAATAGTCATCCTTCTGGTATTATAAAAAACCTTGTTGTACCTTGCTTAAGTGATAAATTTGAAAAACTTAATGCTCAGCTAATATTTAGTGTCAAAAATATTTTCCTGTGTAAATACAAATATTGTAACCTCAAAATTTTATGAAAAAATACTCTTTACTCTTTATCATAAGTACTAATAAAAATACCTGGAAAATATATATCAAATTAGAATATGGCGATGTCTTAGATTCCTAGCAGTCATTTTGCCAATACAAAATTCCAAATGAGACAAAGAGTAATTCATCACTAAATTCATTAACATAAACTCAAATTTGTACTTTATTTCTCAAAAATTTAATTCAGTGAAAAAATATTCAAATGTGGCACATATACACCATGGAATACTATGCAGCCATAAAAAATGATGAGTTCATGTCCTTTGTAGGGACATGGATGAAATTGGAAATCATCATTCTCAGTAAACTATCGCAAGAACAAAAAACCAAACACCGCATATTCTCACTCATAAGTGGGAATTGAACAACGAGATCACATGGACACGGGAAGGGGGATATCACACTCTGGGGACTGTTGTGGGGTGGGGGGAGGGGGAGGGATAGCATCGGGAGATATACCTAATGCTAGATGACGAGTTAGTGGGTGCAGCGCACCAGCATGGCTCATGTATACATATGTAACTAACCTGCACCATGTGCACATGTACCCTAAAACTTAAAGTATAATAAAAAAAAATTCAAGTACTATAAAATATAAATGTGATGTATATCTTTGGAGAGTTAAGCCAGTGAAATCTTTTTACTTTAGGGAAATGGCTGATGGAATTTTAAAAGTGAGAATATAAATCAACAGCCTCATGATTATTCTGAAATACTACTATAGTAATGACAGCAATTATTTTTAAAGGACTGTTTTGAAACATGTAGAATTGAAACTTAATAATTTAGCTGTCTCTGCATAAATGTGCTCTTTCATGCGTGAGAATTATGTTACTAATCTAGACTCATGAGTACTGATGTGTCTGCACTAATCCATCCCTGTTGATTGTCTCAGTTCTCCTTCTGATGAATGGTACACAGAGTGAGCAGGCTTATTTGGGGTTAGCTAAATATGATATGTTGCAATGCTTCCTGATAAGTAGAAAGAGGAGACTGAACCTTACCCTTTAGCATCGCATTTCCCTCTCTTAAAAGTTTAATCAGTTTCCTACAAGTTGTCAGAAGTCTTATATTATAGATTTAATAAATAAATTTAAACGGAGAGTGTGTTGGTCATGTGATCCCAGAAGTAAAGTCAATACAAATAGGTTATATATTTCTCTGTATGCAAATATTGTTTATCTTTGACTTTGATTTGAATAACTGCATCTCAATCTTGCAAATTTGAGAGTGGCTCTTGGACCAAAGCAACAATATTTTATCTTGTCCCTTGGTGTGATCTAAGGGGTATTCCTAAAAAATAATCTGTATTAAAAGGAAAATCTGTGGTCCTGCTCCAGAGCCTTTCAAATTGCCATTATAATTTTATCCTATAGCAGGAGTTGGCAAGTTTTTTTTGAAAAAGGGCGAGTTAGTAAGTATTTTTTATTTTGTGGGCGATAAGGTCTTCATTACAACTACTTGTCTTAGTTTTTATAGAACTAAAGAAGTCATAGAGAATACGTAAATATAAATGGATGTGGCAGTGTTCCAGTAAACTTTATTTACAAATATAGGCAATAGAACAATTTTTTTCCTAGGAACTGTAGTGTGCCAACACCAATTAAAAAAAAAAACTGCATCTTTAGGAAGCTTTGATAAATTTCAAACCCTTTGTAAAAGAACCATATTAAGCTATCATCTATTTTTGATAGAACGTAAATTTAAGGCAAAGCAATAATCAAAAATGTGTTTTAGACAATGCAAATTATGTAGGAAATGAACAGATATTATAAACCCAAAAGCTCAATTATGATTAGGAAACACTAATTTTAAAAAGTTAATTAGCTTTCCTTGATCTGGGATTTCTGTTTTTAATATGCTAACATGTACTATAGAGCTCCACGATTTAGTTATAATTTGAATTGTTTCTCAGAGTACCTTAGTTTTGCAATGCACATGTGACACTTATAAACTGAACAGTAGTAAAGAATGTAGTCCACATGGGCAGTCATGCTAGGACATTGGTACAACACTATAGGAAGCCACAGTTTAAAACATTCTTGAGATTGAGATCCAAAAGAGAGGGCAGAGCATAGAAGAGCCAAAGATGGAATGTAGATGATGAATTGCTCTTCTGCCTCAGAGTGAAATTGAGCTTTCAATAGTAACAATATCTTGAGCAGTGAATGAAGATAAAAAGTTATAGAAAGATTTTTATATGGATGATAACTGAGAATTGATTTACAAATAAAGTATGCATTTGGTCAGAAAAATTTAGTATCAGATACCAAAAACGGACACAACTCGAAAGAGCAAATCTTAAATGGGGCATTACATTTATTGCATAATGCTAATATTTAACCTTCATTAGAAATATGCTTTTTGATATATTGTTCATGAAATTGTTTGCTTTTGTCTGCCTCTAGCATCAGCCTCTTTCATTCTAGAAGAATTTTTGCAGTGATATTTCCTTAGCAGGAGAATAAACTCACACTTTAATGAGAGAGAACTACGTCTTTACATGAATTTCAAAATAACATTTTTTTCTAAATACCTTTCTGCTATTTATAGAGAAACTCCATTGCACAGGTAAAAATATTCAGCCATCTCTAAAAATACAATGCCTCATCAAGATGAACGATGTGGAAAAGTTACACTTCTAGAGTGCTTATAATGATGAAAATTGTGGTGATGCAAAGAAGAAAATCATAACAGGCATTCATTCTTTGGGGAAACTATTTTTAAAACCTACAAATAAACCATAGAATTCCTAAAACTACCTTTGGAAAATTAAAGTTATATAATGCTAGCTTTAAGTATCTAATTACCTATGTGTAAATTATAATTTAATATTTTTACTTTAAATTTTTATGATATTAATAAAAAATAATTTCCATTGTCTTGCTTCCACCATTGTTTATTTCTGCTATTTTCCTTATTCCCCATATGGCATATTCCAAGCACAAAGTAGTGCATGAGATCCTGAACACAGAACAGGACACACTGATGTTCTAAGTTCTTTTCTGGTTTTCAGAAGCTTCTATTCAACACTCCAAAATTTTAGGCTTTTTATATTACTTCTAATTGTCCAACATGCTTGATAAAGTCTAATTCTTCTTAAGTATTGAGCCTTTCACTACCTCCTTTCTTCCACATCCCTGTATAATTATTCATGCTATTCTCTAGATCTTCAGAGGAAAATAACTAATTCTTACCAAAGTATACTAACTAATGTTAAACTCCTTGTTGCAATTTTTTTTAATTTAAAAGTTATGCGGATTATCTAAGTTCTTTGTCTCATTTTAACTTTAATTTAATAATTGCTCTTGTACCATATTCACAAATTATACATTTATCTCTATTTTCCTTCATTTATCTACTGTTTTATTCTCCTTGTCCCTACTGATTCTGTTGTTTCTCATATTTCATATGTGTTTTCATACTTTAACATAGATTCCAGTGGCCTAGAATTCTCGTCATTTTGATTTTTTAGATGGACAATCTACATATTTAATCACAGAATGATAGTTTTGGGGTAATTAGTACAGCTGTGGGGATATTACCTGTACCTATTTATTTAACAAATGAACAACTTCAGATTGAGAGAGTCACAAAAATCCTCACAGAACTCAGGTGTCAAGGCTCCATATTCACAATACTTTCCAATCTTTTATGCTAGAAGTACAATCATAAGATAATTTCTGCTAGTACTTATAATAGCAAAAAGCTACATTTGTGGAGTCACTGATATGTGTCAGATATGATACTTGTATTAATTCTAATCTTGGCACACATATTGCAAAATTGAATTTATCATACGTACTCAATGTGGGAAACTCAGAATCAGAGAAGATAAGAAATATCCTTGTGGACAATTCTTTAGTTAGGTATGTCTGATTCAATAATCTTATATTATTCAAAATAATTCACTGCCTCTCCGAGATCAACTTTTGAAAGATATTTCAACAATGTTTGAAATGTAATTCATGTGTCCAGATCTAGAATTCATAATTGCCAAGAAATTCTGAGGAAGGTGAGAAAATATAGTGTACATCATCATATTGCCCCCAATTCATTGGTAACCAGTTGTCAGTTATTCTGGAGAAACTAGCTGAGTCACCTTATTTTATTTATTTTTTTAAAATTTTTTTATTTTATTATTATTACACTTTAAGTTTTAGGGTACATGTGCACAATGTGCAGGTTAGTTACATATGTACACAGGTGCCATGCTGGTGTGCTGCACCCATTAACTCGTCATTTAGCATTAGGTATATCTCCTAATGCTATCCCTCCCCCCTTCCCCCACCCCACAACAGTCCCCAGAGTGTGATGTTCCCCTTCCTGTGTCCATGTGTTCTCATTGTTCAATTCCCACCTATGAGTGAGAACATGCGGTGTTTGGTTTTTTGTCCTTGGGATAGTTTACTGAGAATGATGATTTCCAATTTCATCCATGTCCCTACAAAGGACATGAACTCATCATTTTTTATGGCTGCATAGTATTCCATGGTGTATATGTGCCACATTTTCTTAATCCAGTCTATCATTGTTGGACATTTGGATTGGTTCCAAGTCTTTGCTATTGTAAATAGTGCCGCAATAAACATACGTGTGCATGTGTCTTTATAGCAGCATGATTTATAGTCCTTTGGGTATATACCCAGTAATGGGATGGCTGGGTCAAATGGTATTTCTAGTTCTAGATCCCTGAGGAATCACCACACTGACTTCCACAATGGTTGAACTAGTTTACAGTCCCACCAACAGTGTAAAAATGTTCCTATTTCTCCACATCCTCTCCAGCACCTGTTGTTTCCTGACTTTTTAATGATTGCCATTCTAACTGGTATGAGATGGTATCTCATTGTGGTTTTGATTTGCATTTCTCTGATGGCCAGTGATGGTGAGCATTTTTTCATGTGTTTTTTGGCTGCATAAATGTCTTATTTTGAGAAGTGTCTGTTCATATCCTTCGCCCACTTTTTGATGGGGTTGTTTGTTTTTTTCTTGTAAATTTGTTTGAGTTCATTGTAGATTCTGGATATTAGCCCTTTGTCAGATGAGTAGGTTGCGAAAATTTTCTCCCATTTTGTAGGTTGCCTGTTCACTCTGATGGTAGTTTCTTTTGCTGTGCAGAAGCTCTTGAGTTTAATTAGATCCCATTTGTCAATTTTGGCTTTTGTTGCCATTGCTTTTGGTGTTTTAGACATGAAGTCCTTGACCATGCCTATGTCCTGAATGGTAATGCCTAGGTTTTCTTCTAGGGTTTTTATGGTTTTAGGTCTAATGTTTAAGTCTTTAATCCATCTTGAATTAATTTTTGTATAAGGTGTAAGGAAGGGATCCAGTTTCAGCTTTCTACATATGGTTAGCCAGTTTTCCCAGCACCATTTATTAAATAGGGAATCCTTTCCCCATTGCTTGTTTTTCTCAGGTTTGTCAAAAATCAGATAGTTGTAGATAAGCAGCGTTATTTCTGAGGGCTCTGTTCTGTTCCATTGATCTATATCTCTGTTTTGGTACCGGTACCATGCTGTTATGGTTACTGTAGCCTTGTAGTATAGTTTGAAGTCAGGTAGCATGATGCCTCCAGCTTTGTTCTTTTGGCTTAGGATTGACTTGGCGATGCGGGCTCTTTTTTGGTTCCATATGAACTTTAAAGTAGTTTTTTTCCAATTCTGTGAAGAAAGTCATTGGTAGCTTGATGGGGATGGCATTGAATCCATAAATTACCTTGGGCAGTATGCCATTTTCATGATATTGATTCTTCCTACCCATGAGCATGGAATGTTATTCCATTTTTTTGTATCCTCTTTAATTCATTGAGCAGTGGTTTGTAGTTCTCTTTGAAGAGATCCTTCACATCCCTTGTAAGTTGGATTCCTAGGTATTTTATTGTCTTTGAAGCAATTGTGAATGGGAGTTCACTCATGATTTGGCTCTCTGTTTGTCTGTTATTGGTGTATAAGAATGCTTGTGATTTTTGTACATTGATTTTGTATCCTGAGACTTTGCTGAAGTTGCTTATCAGTTTAAGGAGATTTTGGGCTGAGACAATGGGGTTTTCTAGATATACAATCATGTCATCTGCAAACAGGGACAATTTGACTTCCTCTTTTCCTAATTGAATACCCTTTATTTCCTTCTCCTCCCTAATTGCCCTGGCCAGAACTTCCAACACTGTGTTGAATAGGAGTGGTGAGAGAGGGCATCCTGTCTTGTGCCAGTTTTCAAAGGGAATGCTTCCAGTTTTTGCCCATTCAGTATGATATACAATTTTTTCAGCACCACACCACACCTATTCCAAAATTGACCACATACTTGGAAGTAAAGCTCTCCTCAGCAAATGTAAAAGAACAGAAATTATAACAAACTGTGTCTCAGACCACAGTGCAATCAAACTAGAACTCAGGATTAAGAAACTCACTCAAAACTGCTCAACTACATGGAAACTGAACAACCTGCTCCTGAATGACTACTGGGTACATAATGAAATGAAGGCAGAAATAAAGATGTTCTTTGAAACCAACGAGAACAAAGACACAACATACCAGAATCTCTGGGACACATTCAAAGCAGTGTGTAGAGGGAAATTTATAGCACTAAATGCCCACAAGAGAAAGCAGGAAAGATCCAAAATTGACACCCTAACATCACAATTAAAAGAACTAGAAAAGCAAGAGCAAACACATTCAAAAGCTAGCAGAAGGCAAGAAATAACTAAAATCAGAGCAGAACTGAAGGAAATAGAGACACAAAAAACCCTTCAAAAAATTAATGAATCCAGGAGCTGGTTTTTTGAAAGGATCAACAAACCGCTAGCAAGACTAATAAAGAAAAAAAGAGAGAAGTATCAAGTAGATGCAATAACAAATGATAAAGGGGATATCACCACCGATCCCACAGAAATACAAACTACCATCAGAGAATACTACAAACACCTCTACGCAAATAAACTAGAAAATCTAAAAGAAATGGACAAATTCCTTGACACATACACTCTCCCAAGACTAAACCAGGAAGAATTTGAATCTCTGAATAGACCAATAACAGGATCTGAAATTGTGGCAATAATCAATAGCTTACCAACCAAAAAGAGTCCAGGACCAGATGGATTCACAGCCAAATTCTACCAGAGGTACAAGGAGGAACTGGTACCATTCCTTCTGAAACTATTGCAATCAATAGAAAAAGAGGGAATCCTCCCTGACTCATTTTATGAGGCCAGCATCATCCTGATACCAAAGCCTGGCAGAGACACAACCAAGAAAGAGAATTTTAGACCAATATCCTTGATGAACATTGATGTAAAAATCCTCAATAAAATACTGGCAAACCGAATCCAGCAGCACATCAAAAAGCTTATCCACCATGATCAAGTGGGCTTCATCCCTGGGATGCAAGGCTGGTTCAATACACACAAATCAATAAATGTAATCCGGCATATAAACAGAACCAAAGACAAAAACCACATGATTATCTTAATAGATGCAGAAAAGGCCTTTGACAAAATTCAACAACCCTTCATGCTAAAAACCCTCAATAAATTAGGTATTGATGGGATGTATCTCAAAATAATAAGAGCTATCTATGACAAACCCACAGCCAATATCATACTGAGTCACCTTATTTTATATGCTATCTCATTATCCATGTTAAAAATGTGATGTCCTGTAATCTAAAAGCTCTGTTTTTGAAAATCCCATGTGTATCTACTTATCACAAATAAAGAGCATAGATCTCATATTTTTGTAGAATAATTGAGCCCCAGATGGTGGTAATTTGAATGAAACAGCTACTCCTTGTGTCTCTCTGATGAACTATTCAGGATTAAGAATGATAACAAAACTTCGAAAGCCTGACTGCAATAATAGATCCCAGTACTGCCTTTTATTGTTAATGATGACACTTGCTATTTTACTAGAATTAAGTTTTTGAGCTACTCTGAGGATGCTTAAGTCTTTAATGATCTTTTTATCATAGCAGAAAAAGTTGAAAACAACAAAATTCACCCAAATACATTGGATGCAGTGTTCAACACTAGAGAGGTGCGTTGGTTTCATTCTGAAGCATTAACTCTTTTGTCCCAGCCTGATGCCTGATGGACTCTGAGAGGCTCAGAAGTAGGATTTTTTGCTCAACTAGGCAAGATTTACACTTACTTCACTGAGATAATCCTTTAGCCTAGAACCATATTAGGTTTGTGGTTGGTAAATTGGAATACATAGAAAAAGCACATTCTGAAATTTTCCATAATCCTGGAAAACACTCTGGTCCATTTAAGCACAATTCTAGGGAGAAATGTACACTTAAATGTTCTTTACCATCTCCCACAATACTGACTGCTTGAAGAAGGTGATGTGGCTGAGTATGCCTGATGAGGAGAATCCAGCATCTGGAATAAGCCAAACATGTTACTTAACTGCTCTGAGGGATTTTTCATAACCATGAATTGGTGATGATAAAAATGCTCATCTGCATTCATCAGAAAATTATAAGGCCTGTGAATTTACCATTTATTTTGAAAATACTTATTCAAGAGTTTGGTGTCACAGTACCGCTTTTGGAAACATATATATATATATATAAAATTATATATATAGTCATATGTTTATATATGAATTTTATGAACATAAACACAAAGCTCTCTTTTATCTTTAAATCTGGGTACAATGACTTGTGAACATTCCATATCCTTATTGGATAAGCTCCAGATAAATTACTTCATGTTATTTAATTAAAATCAACAAAAATAACATATTTCTGACTATGTGTATTTGGGGAGAATCCAATGGGGACAAGATGTAGGTCATTTGTAAACTGAGGATTCAAATAACATTATCTCTTACCCATGGTTTTTAATAAGGTCAACATCAGTATATTTCATAAAGAGATTATGTCATGTAAATACTTAGTTTACAATAAACATAGTACTAAGAAATTGAAAGATTTGAAGATAAAAATAATGACAATTTGTAAGTGTTTAACATAAGTTCACTTTCATATTTGATCATCTCTCAAAGGAAAATTAAGGGTTGCTTTTAGGGTAGGCTACTGTACTCTCACTTGCCCAGTACAACTGTGATGTTTGTTCATGCTGCTGCCTTTACTGAAATTTGTGGCCCTTTAGCTTCTACTCACCCAATTGGTACACAATATTCAGGATCCTGATCAATTCCCAGCTTCTATAGGAAATAATTTCCTCTTACTAGTCCACATTAAGATGTTTTCACTCTAAATTCTTATTAACATGAGAGTATGCCCCATGCTTTTCAGTCTTCAAATACCTGTACTGCATTATCTTTCTCCTAAAACAATATTTGAGTTGCAGGATCCAGATAAAGTTTACATTTTATAACTTGAAAAAGCCTGTAGAACACTCATAGGCATAGTATAAGGTTCAAAGAAGATTAGCAGATTGACTGTAGTTTCATAAAGCATACTTATTTAATGTTCCTTTGCAAAATTTACTTGTGTGGGTACTGATTCCTTTTAGGGTATAGAAGGTAGCAAAAAAAATGTTCACAGTCACATTTAAAACAAGAAAAAAACAAAATAAACAAAATTATAATCTTTTCTCTTCATCTGAAAGCTGAGGGATCAAGGCATGCAGGTGGACTGAACTACAAATGGATACAACACACTTGAAGGAAAGAAGGAACACATGAGTAGGACACATAGTCATTTTGTATATGACAGATCACAGGAGAAAGAGTTGGAAGCTATAAAAGTGGATAAGAAAAAAATGACTGAAATATAACAAATTGTTAAGGGCCAAGAATGGACTTGCATTTATAATTCTGTGCAAACCAGGTATATAAGAAGTTCACACTTTTTGCCGTCACTCTACCATGGGCCTTCACTGGGTAGGTATTGACAAGAAATGTTTACAGTAGAAAACTGAGACTGTCCCCTTTGAACTATGAATATTCAAGGACTTGACAAGGTCTGAGGGAAGAACATATGGTACTGGAGAAACTAACTTTTCATATGGAAAGAAACTTGAAAAATTTCTTCCAAACCTACACAAAATGATCATGAATTGGTTTGTGAGACTTGAAGTAAAACCTAAAACTATAAAAGTTTTAGAAAAAAATATATTTAGAAAGAAACATTCAAGGCTTTGGAGGAGACAGAGAATTTTTAGGCTACAAGGAGCATTATTATAAAAGAAAATATTTGATAAATCAGAATCAATAAAACATAATTTTCTACTTTTTGTAATACATTATTAAGAAAATCAAAAGACATGACAGATTAAAATAAGATATTTTTAAAAGATTCATATAGAAGCATGATATGGGTTTCTCAATATAAAAGGATGAACTCAATAGTACAAATTAATATCAAAAAGTGAGGGAATATTTGAAAAGCAACCTCACAATAAATGCTCAACATCATTGGATATCAGGTAAAAGCAAATTAAAAACAAAATGAGATACCAATATACATGCACAAGAATAGCAAAAAATAGAAGATGCTGCAAATATGAAGTGTAGGCAAGGGTATGGAAAGAGACTGAACAATAAGAAATGGCGTTCTTTTTATTCTCAAAAAGACAAGAAAAATGGTACAGCCATTTTTGAAAAAAAAAGAAGTGTTGGAAGTATTTATTAAAGTCGACATTTTCTTCCTACATAACTTATTTACGTATTCATTTATTCATTTATTTTAGAGACTGATCTAGCTCTGTTGTGCAGGCTGGAATGCAGTGGAATGATCATTGCTCACTGTAGCCTCAAACTCCCTTGCTTAAGTAATCCTCCTCCCTCAGCTTCCCTAGAAGCTGGAAATACAGGCACATGCCACCATACCTGACTATTTTATCTTTTTAAAAATTTTTTAAAGACAGGCTCTTGCTATGTTGCCCCAGCTGGTCTCAAACTCCTGGGCTCAGCTCCTGCCTCGGCCTGAATTACAGGTGTAAGCCACTGCATCTGGCATACATGACTAATGTATTCTACTACCAGGATAAGTGAAATCATATGCCTACCTAGATTTGTACACAGATATTCACAGCAGCAAAATTTATAATAGGCAATACCGCGAAGAATATATCTGTTCACCAAGAGTTGTATAGGAAAGATGGTTTGTCTACGTAATGGAATATTACTCAGTAATAAAATGAAAGAAACTAATGCTATATGAAACAACATGAATTAATCTCAAAACAGCATGCTAAGTGAAAGAAATGAGGCACAAAATAATTAAATATCCTATTTACACAACAAATGGAAAATTAGATCAACAGAAAATAGATAAGTTGTTGCCTAAGACCAGGAGTAGGGGCAGAAATTAACTGCAAAGAGACATACAGGAATACTATTGGAGTATGGAAATATTCTAAAATTTGGTTATGTTGATGGTTGCACATCTGCAAATATTTACCAAATATCATCAAGCTTTATACTTAAAATAGGTGAAATTTATCGTGAATACATACCTCAAGAAAGCTGCAACAATACCATTTACTTTAGCATTAGGAACATGAAAAATACATAAAGATTTTAAAAAATCTAAAATATTATTGACAGAAATTTTAAAAATCTAAATCAATTTAGATATGTGACATTTTCATGGACTGGAAGACTTAATATTGTTAATATGATCATTCTTCCCAGTTGCTTTATAGATTCAAAGATACTTGACACCCTAAGAGTTTAATACATGTTGAGAAGCTAAGGACCTAGACTAATCAAACCATTTTCAAATAAAAAATATACAGTTGGTGAACTTAAAATAGCTGATTTTAAGACTTACTATAAAGAGCAATAATCAAAAGAGCGTGCAATTGGCCTAAGATGTACATTAAATCAATGGTTTAGAATAGTTACAAGAAAAATGTGCTTGTGTGTTCAGCTGATTTTCCACAACTGGTGTCAAGATAATGAAATGGGCAAAATAGTGTTGCTTTAGCAAAGATAATGGAAAAACTAAATACTCTATAAAAATAAAATCTAACACCATACACAAAGTCATAGATCTAAGCATAGAAACTAAAAATAATAACACTTGCAGAAGGATAATTAGAAGACAGTATTTGGTGCCTTTGATTAAAGATTTTTTTAAATAGGACAAAGTAGTATGGACTAGAAATGGGAAAAAATGACCATCTGAGGTATGTCAAAATGAGGAAATAGTGCTGTTTGTAAGATATTGTTAAGTGAATGTAAACACAAGTCATAGACTGAGAGAAATATTCGTGTAACAGATATCTAATAAAAGACTGCTATCTAGAAAATATACAGAACACTTAATTAAAAAAAAATAGATACCCAACGAAAGAAACTGGACAACAGATTTGAATAGTCACTTAAAAAACATGTAGCAATGGCAAATAAGAATATGAAAATATGTTCAACATTATTAAACATCAGGGAAATGCAAATTAAATCCATGATAAAATTTCTACATTCTTACTAAAATTTAAAAAATTTAAAGGTTTCATTTTTAAATTTCTTTCTAAAATATCATATAATTATGGTTCTTTTTATTCTTTCCATGTACAGTTTCATGAATTTTAACAATCTGTTTTTCTATCATTACAGTTTGTATTTTCAGGGATAAATAAATATATGTTCTATCAAACAGTATGCAATTGTTTTTGTAATGGCTTCTTTGACTCAATGTATAGAATGTGCTTGAGATTCACCTGCCCACTTTCTGGCATTGTAACAACAGTTCCTGTTACTGCTCAGGAGTATTCAAGAATTGATAAAATTTAAAAGAAAATACCATGCATTGGGATCATACGAATAAATTTGAAATGTTAACATTTTTATGGTGGGAATGTGAAATTATACAGCTACTTTAGAAATAACATGGCAGTTTTTTAATAATAACATTTTGTACACACTTACCTTATGACTAGCACTCTCATTCTTAAGCATTTATCAAAAATAAATGAAAATATATATCAGCACAAAGATCTTTCATGAATATTGACACAACCTTCATTTGTGATGATTAAAATGGCAAAAACTTAAATGCCCCCCACTTGTGGTGCATTCATACAGTGGGACAATGTGTAGCAAGAAGAAGATGACTACTGATAAATGCAACAACATGGATGCATCTCAAAAGCATTATGGTAAATGAAAGAAGCCAGAAATAACTTACTGTTCTTTGCATTTCTGAAAAAGCAAAATCACAGATATAAAAACACATGAGCATTTACTAGGACCTGACGATGTAAGGAAGGGTCTGTGGAGAAGAAGAGACTAACTACAGGGGAACATACGGAAACTGCTAGGTATGGTGAAATATAAATCTTGATTAATTAGTTAATTTCTTTTTCTATATGAACACAGTCTCACTATGTTGCCCAGGCTGTTCTCAAACTTCTGGCCTCAAGTGATCCTCCTAACTCCATCTCCCAAACTACTAGGATTATAGACATGAGCCACTGTGCCCAGTCAAATCTTGATTTATGACTATATACATTTTTTGAAAATTTACCAAACTGTACACCTAAAAATGGTGAATGTTATTGTATGTAAATTTTACCATAATTTAACAAAATGACTTCAACATAGCTTTGTTTTCCAGAGTGATTTAGGAAAAAGTCCTAAAAGAACTATACAATTTTAATAAGACTACACTGAACACAAGGATTACAGTATCAGGAAAAGAGACTTTCTCTTTTAAGCAATATCTTTAAATGGGCTATAATCATATTTTAAATGCACCATAATTATATTATACATTTTCTATTTTTTACTGTCAAATGAGTTATGAAGGTAAATGTGTAATTAGGTTTATCTGTGTTTGTTATATTTTTTACAAAAATAAGTCGTAGTCTTATCTTGTTAAGTTGCTATTTTTTCACATAAACAGGTCATAGTCTTTTCAATAATTGTCATTCTCTAAAAAGAGGTAGTTCATTTTAAATACATATGCCTTACAGAAGTCATATTCACAAAATATTATTTTATTTCCTTGTTATGTGAAGCAATGTAAGTTAATCGTATTTCTACAGGCTTCATGCTCATTCAATATTTGCAGTTTTTCTTAGTCTTTTCTTTAGTCCATTTCATACTGCTATAAAGAACTGCCCAAGACTGGGTAATTTATAAAGGAAAGAGGTTTAATTGACTCACAGTTGAGCATGACTGGGGAGGCCTCAGGAAATTTACACTCATGGCAGAAGTTTAAGGGGAAGCAAGATACCTTCTTCACAAGGCAGAACGATGGAGAAGTGCCAAGCGAAGCAGGAAGAGCCCTCATATAAAAACAAATTAAGTTTAACTTCAGCAAAATTTATAATTGGATTTATAGCTGGAAATAAAACCTAAAACTACAAAACTAAAAACAAAACGAAATAAAACAAACACCATCAGATCTCTTGAGAACTCACTCACTCTCACGAGAACGGCATGGAGGAAACTGCCCCCAGGATTCAATTACTTCCACCTGGTCTGTCTCTTGACATGGGGATTAGGGAGATTATGGGGATTACAATTCAAGATGAGATTTGGGTGGGGACACAAAGCCTAACCATAAAATGCATATATAGGTATTTGTGATTATTCAAGATATCTATGCTGCTGAGCATGGGTAAAAACCCTAGCTATTTACAATTCACTACATGTAAAGATCTTAAATAGTTCTCAGGTTTTTTATTTGTTTTATTTTTATAATTACACAATTTGGGGATAAGGTCTTTCATTTTGGGAATTTCCCTTTTCAACCATCAATGCATTGATTAATTAATGCAACACATTTGAATACATATTATGCTAGCTTCTGCCAACATAATGGGCTCTGACAATGTAACAGCAAGCAAAACAGAAAGGCTCCTTCCCTCATGTGGTTTACATTTTAGTGAGGGTAGACAGAGAATGAGCAAATAAATAGGCACACGATATAATTCTAAAATTTATTTTCTACATTTCTAAAATCAAAAATCTTTCAAAACTGAAAGGTTTTTTTCTAACTTATCTGGTAAAACTGAATCTAGACTGGTACAAACCACTTTACATATGTATCATTCTTAGTGTGCCCATGCATACATGTCATTACTGAAATGTCAATATGTGTGATTAGAGCTTGCTGTCACAAACCTTATTGAATATCCCAGGTTTAAAATCTACAGCCCATAACAATTTCAGATGAAGGTTGTGTCTAGTTTAACATCACATACTGATCATTTCTATGAAGGAAAATAAAGCAGAATAAGGTGATAGAAAGGGGTAAATGCTGTCATTGTAGATCAGTTTGACAGGTTGCCGTATTTATTGATGTGACATTTGAGCAGAGACCTGAAAATAAAGTGAGAGAATTAAATGAGAAAATTCTTCCAGGCAGAGAGAACTGTAATGTCATGGCAAGAGAGGCGGGGGTAGGCTTGATGAAGAAAAAGAAAGCAACATGACCACTAACAGATGCTATGATGTTGACTTTGAAAATGAAGGAAAAGACTACAAGTCAAGGAATGCAGCTCTAGAAGCTGGAAAAAGCAAAGAAATATTGTCCCCTTGATAGAACCTCCAGAGGGTCACTGAAACTGATGTGGGACTTCTTATCGCCAGAACAGTGAGAGAATAAATGCAGGTGGTTTAAACCCATCAATTTTGCAGTAATTAGTCACAACAGGTATACAAAGCTAATACAACTTTTAAAAGAGCCACACAGCCCTCTCTTTTCATGAAAATCTGCAAGAGAGGATAGAAGAATAGAGACCATTCAGAAATTTATTGCTGTAATCCAGGCAAAGAAACAGGATGTTGGCGATTGATATACACTATTAAATTTTTGATAGATTTATTCTTATGCATTCTGTGATTTAAAAAAAATTCTTACATTTTAAGATTTATTGAGGCTAACAGAATGAAATATACTTTTTAAAGCTGACTTTGTATCCTGCAATACTGTGAAATTGACATTCATTCTAATAGATTGTTTATAAATTATTTGATGCAGTTTATGTTTGTAATGATGTTATCTGCAAATAATGGCAGATTTCACCATTTCACTCCAATATTTATAACCTTTATTTCTTTATCTTGCCATGCTGCTTTAGCATTTCTATGACCATGTTTAAGAGTGACAATATTGGATATTTTTGTCCTGTAACTTAAGGGCAAGTATTTACTATTTCACCATTAAGAATTAATTTAGCTCTACTCTTTATTATGAATATACAATAAGTAAAACACAATATTCACTTCAGTTACTAGTTTGTTGAGACTTTCTCATGAAAGACGATGAATTTTATTAAATTTATCTAAAATTAATTTTATTAAATACATCTAGATAATTTATTAAATTTATCTAGCATTTTTTATTCAAATAATGTGGTAAATTATGTTGAATAATTTTTAAATGTTAGACCAACTGTACACTCCTGGAATAAAATCCAGAATAAGGTTGTACTCACATTTTTCTTTATGTATACTGTGTTGTGATTTGCTTATGCTTAACATATGTTTATTTGCATCACTGTTCAGAAGAAGTACTGTCTAATCATTTTCCTTTTTGGTAATATGCTTGTTCAGTTTATAATATCAAGATAATGTTCTCATAAAATAAGTTTAGCTGTGTCCCCTTTCTTTCTATTTTCTGTTTTATAATGTATTATTTCTTCCTTAAGTGGCTAACAGTATTCACCGGTAGTCATCTTGTCATGGAGTTTTCTCTATGGCACTTTTGTTCTGTTTTGTCCTATTTTTTTTTCTTTAATTTATTTTAAAAACATTATATTTTAAAGCATCATTATTTTAAAAACAATTTACAAAACTAACCCTTAAATTATTCTATTGTCATAGAACTACAGGTGTCCATTTTAATATTGGGAAACAATCATTAGTACATGCTTTTAATGTGAATTAAAGCCTGCATTATTTACATTTTCAGATAGCTGCCATAGAAACACAGACAAATGTAACCCCCATGTCTTTTTTTTCATACAGCTGCATTTGCACCAAACTTGTTCATAAAACCATTTCAAAGCTATCAATAATTAATTTAAATAATTTATATACATGCTTCAAATTCACATTAAATTTTATTTAGCAACTACAAAAATATATCTATAAACACTACTGGAAGCCCTGAAATCCTTTCACTCTACTTATGCTAAAATTTGAATTTGTATTTTGCTGTATCAGTTGCCAGCCTGGCTTCAGCATTCCATAGTAGAGAGCTGATATTTGGAATTCGTGGACTCTATTGATTCATATCAGCTTTTTTAAAAAATAACGTACATATTTCTGCATCTTTGCACTTTTAGTCTGTTAGGGTTTTGATATTTAAAACATTTCTATCATAAACTAACACTGTCGCATCATAATTTTTGTTTACAAAATTCTTTCTTTATATACTGTAAAACTTTTAGAAAAGAATAGCTTTAATTTAGCCTCTGATCCTATCAATATATAGAGTTTTGTAAAGGGAAGACTTCAGAAACTATCAAAATTAGAATGACATAAAGTTCAAAGAAAAAACAAAAAGCAGAGCTCAAAAGATATTTTGCACATTTCCATGTCTTTGCTTCTTATAACAAAGAAGACAAAATTGTAACACAAGTCATAAGAAAAAAATGGCTTTTATTCCCTCTTGCCTGAAGCGATTGGTTTGAAAGTTGAGCTTTGAAGCAGACGCTTTCTAAAGCATTTATACTGAAAATAAAGAAAAATATATGTATTGTGCAATATCTTTCTAATTGTAGTATATTTCTTTTATAAAAAATGTCACACTACATAAGACTTAAAAGTCAAATTAACCCCACATAAATTTGAGTTGAAGGCAGTGATTTTCCCACCTAATTTCAATACATAATATACAGGCAATAAAATCTTCAAAGGTGGTTTCTAAAGGAATGATTTCCTTTGAGTTGTGTTAGTAATAAAAATGGCCTTCATTTGCTTCCAGTAAACCCAGAGGCAAAAGTCACTCCTAACACATAGAAATTTTTGATTATCTCTTGAAGGCAAGAATGACACATTGTTAGTTCTCACCTGTCAAGCATACAGTAAATTCATAAATGATGCTTTAATAATGCTAAATTATTAAAGCAGGTATAGAGATATAGCAGAAAGAACTGGAAAGCAGGAAAAAGGATTGTGGTTCTGGATTTGCTACTCGTTATTGGGTACTTACATTTCTGAGTCACTTAATGTCTCCCTGCCTCTTGATGTTGGTTAGATATCAAGGTTCCACTGATGATTTCTAAGGTCCCTTCTAGTAAGAACACCAGTTGACAAGGGACTCATTTACAAATTCAAGCATGCAAAAGGAAGTCACTTCTAATTTTTATATCTTGAACTTAATACTTTAGGCCTATTCTGCCTGATCTAACCTAGGTTAATTCCAGGTAAAACATTTTAGGTTAAGTTTAAATGCAGTTCCTAAGGGATTTTTTTCCTTTTCATCATTGTTCCTTGGTTGACCTCTATATTTTCATAAATTTAGCTGCATTGTCTGATCATTTGTTGGTGCCTCTCAGTGCCATGATCTGCAAAGGTGTGTACATCCTTCAGTCTGGATGTTGCCATTGCTAGCCTTCATACTGATATCCTCTGAAATACCTGCATCTTCATTTCCATAGCTCCCTCTTGTTACATTTCTATTTTACTAATACAATATGTTCATGTCAGCTGGATTTTGTCTCTTCTAACAAATGAAAATATGTTGGGGTCATAGGAAAATCCACCTGCTCCCTCATGTCATTCTAGAAACAGGAGAAGCTTTGTTGGCTGCCTCAACCTCATCTTACATAAAACTCATTTTTTTTTTTTTTGAGTCAGAGTCTTGCTCTGTTACCTAGGCTGGAGTGCAGTGGCTGATTTTGACTCACTGCAACCTCCGCCTTCCAGGTTCAAGCGATCTTCCTGCCTCAGCCTCCTGAGTAGCTGGGATTACAGGCACATACCACCATGCCAGGCTAGTTTTTGTATTTTTAGTAGAGACGGGGTTTCACCATGTTGTTCGGGCTGGTCTCGAACTCCTGACCTCGTGACCCTCCTGCCTCTGCCTCCCAAAGTGCTGGGATTACAGGCGTGAGCCACCACGCCCGGCCCATACAACTCACTTCTATACATCTTCCCAGTGAATGTCCATGTAGCTACTTGAGAAGCAGACAGATGTCTGCTTCTCATATGTCAGATTCTCTGACCTACCTGGAAATTGTTTTGTATCTCCTCACCGAGACAGGAATACAATCTAACGAGTGGACAGGCTGAAGATTTTCTTCAGAGAGACACCTCAGGGTCCTAATTTATTGCTTTGTTTTCTTTTATACTCTTTTTAATTTTTAATTTTCCCTTAGCTTATAGATTTTTTTTTTTTTTTTGAGACGGAGTTCCACTCTTGTTTCCCAAGCTGGAGTTCAATGGTGTGATCTCAGCTCCTCCGCTTCCCGGGTTCAAGCGATTCTCCCGCCTCAGCCTCCCGAGCAGCTATGATTACAGGCGCATGCCACTATTCCTGGCTAATTTTTTGTATTGTTAGTAGAAACGGGGTTTCACCATGTTAACCAGGCTGGTCTTGAACTCCTGATCTCAGATAATCCGCCAGCCTTGGCCTCCCAAAGTGCTGGGATAACAGGCGTGAGACACCGGGCCCGGCCTAGAATTTTAAATTACAGTTGTTTGTGCTTAAGAAGGAGGAAGGTCAAAAAGATCATGTCAGGTATTCTCTACATAATCATTAAGACAGAGCTTTATTTAGCCCATGATGTTCAGGATTTGAAATGTACTTTTTTTTTCCCTAAAACTACTGACATATTCCAAAAAGTACTGCCATTTTGAATTTCAACAGCTTGTTGCATTTTTTTTCCTACTTTGTCCTGAGAATATTAAAGATGGGTGGGTGGATTTGGCTTCTTGGGCCTGAGGAAGTCCAAATGCACAAAATAACCAGCATGTACAAATGTGCTAGGTAATAGCAAAACTATTTTTCTGCAAATAACTTGCAATGAAATTTTTTCCCTCAGTTTTTAAAGCATGATGCTTTTGGCTAGTGATTATTATTTACTTCATATACACACAAAGTTGATTAAAGTACAGAGTTATACATATATATTTATATATTTTTAATTCTGGAAAATTCTGAGTGTATTAAATGCTGGGAAGTTCTGCATGTACTTGGCTGGGAAATTCTGTGTACTTGGCTCTTTCCAAAAAGAGAAAAGAACTGTGTGCATTGTTTAATATTCCATTTCTGAAATACCCTGATTCATAGATCTGTGTTTCAGGAAAACATAGTAATGATTTGGGCTTGAAATGTTGCCTTTCAATAAACAATGTCAAAAGTAACTCACAGCAACCCCTTAAAGCCCAATATGTTATCAAAGTTTGTTCATTAAGTCCATAAATATGGGCATTAATGAAAGCCTTTACCAAACTATAATCAGAATTGTAAAACACTGAGGAATCTTATTTATAAAAATGTTGTTGTCAAATAACAGAGTAAGCTATAAATTATTCATGGACTATTGAGCATAACAAGTATCTGATATTACTCAATAACTAGGGACATTTTAATATAGGGGAAGCTCCCATTATGTTTTGTAATTGAATATTTGTTTTATGATATTTCATTATATTGGTTCATTGTTAATGCTACGAGATGACTATTCTCAGAAGAAATAAACTTTCACCATGGATTGGGAATTAGAAACAATAGAAAGAATGATAAAATAAATAAATTCATCATAAGAACTGAAATGGATTTTGGTTTTCAAAAATAAAGCTTGATTTCTTGTCAAACGTTTGTAGGTTTCTTGTCATGATGTGTTAGAAAGTCCAGTAACATTTTCCAAATTTTTCTGGAAACAACACTTTATGCATCATCATTATCACTAGGCATTATGATTGACAGATTATAATATTGTAACCAATGAGTCAGATAAAATATACATGAATACTAATCGAAGAATCAATTTTGTTATCATTTGAAACAAAAGAAATAAAAGAGAATGAATATAATCATTTTATACAGAGGAACCATACACGTAATTTTTTAAATAACTTAAAAGATTATTATTTAAATATTTTTATTTAAATATATTTTCAAATGAGAATGTTTATTCCTAAAATAATGAAAAATAAGCTACCTTCCATTTGCTTGCTCAATATTTTAAATAAAAACAAGTGCATTACTTGAAAAAGAACTGAGTCTAAACACTCTTTTGATATATATGTGTGAGGTAATATCTCCAATCTGTCTTACTACGAGCACAAAGGTTTATTTTAATTTTCCTACTCACTGCCAATGTTTTCTCCATTTTAAAAATTTTCTCCTTTGTAAGTACAAGCATATTACATGATTGTGTATAAAAACTGAAAATGAGTATAAACTCAAATTCAAATTTAAATTAATTAAAATTATATAAAATTAATCTGTCACACTAGTCACATATCTAAGGCTCAATAACTGCATGTGATTTTGGCAACTGTAATAGTGCATATATAAAAAATTTCATTATTGCTGATGGTTCTATTGTATGATGCTACCTTAAACAATTTTGAAACTATTTTTAATGATTGCATAACATCCCATTATGTTGTTGCATCCTAATTATTTAATTAGTCCTACATTGCTGTATATTTTCAGTGCTTGCATAGTGACATCTTTAGTTCTTTTTGTTGATATGGTAGTTGTGGTTGTGGTCGTGGTTTTGTTATTAGATATGATGCAATTGTAAATCATATATAACATTTTTTCATTTTTATTTTAGAAATGTTCTTACATTAACACTTTTTACTTCTGCATTCACAACTGAAGTTTCTGTAGCAGAAGTATTGGCTATGGTACAGAAGTCTAAAGAACTACAACTCTACGTAATGGGGAAAGAGTCTGAATTATTTTGAGTTTTAAATAGAGTTGGTAGGAGACATTTAAGCGATTATATATTAGGGTTTGTTTAAGAGTATTTAAGTTTTGTGGCCCTAAGGTAATTGTGAGCTCATAGTACTAAGTAAGCTCAGTTAGTACTTGAATGGTTTGAATGGCATTAGATGTATTCATTGAATACACTATCATACAGACCTTAGAGACAGAATGTTTCCTCAAATAATCAACTTTTGTCTGGATCATTGTTCTGAATAAACATTTTGAAAAAATGTTTGAGGAGGTAACGGTTATATGCTGTAATTACGGGAGAGAAAACGCTGAATGGATTAGCTCATTACTACAAAGTTTCTATAAAGTTTCAAAAAGATTTTGATTTTTACAAAGAATCTCTAAAGCTCCTTTTTTTTTCTTTTTAACTTGCATTTTTTTCTTTCCAACTTCTGTTTTAGCTTCAAGGGGTACATGCACAGATTTGTTACATAGGTAAATTGTGTGTTGCAGGGATTTGGTGTACAGATAATTTTGTCATCCAGGTAATCAGCATAATATCCAATAGGTAGTTTTTCAATCCTCAGCCTTCTCCCAACTTCCACCCTTAAGTAGAGTCCCATGTCCACTGTTCCCATCTTTGTGAATGGAACCTTCACAAAGCCTTCGGCTCCATTCATGTTGCAGCAAAAGACACAATTTCATTCTTTTTTATGATTGCATAGTACCCATGGTGTAGATGTACCACATTTTCTTTATCCAGTCCACTGTTGATGGGCATCTCAGTTGATTCCATGCCTTTGCTGTTGTGAATAGTGCTGCTATGAACATACACGTGCATGTGTCTTTATGGTAGAATGATGTATATCCCTTTGTGTATACACCCAGTAATAGGATAGCTGGGTTGAATGGTTTTGTATTTTAAGTTCTTTGAGAAATTTCCAAACTGCTTTCCACAGTGTCTGAACTACATTCCCACAAGCAGTGTATAAGCATTCCTTTTACTGTGTAACCTTGTCAGAAACTGTTATTTTTTGACTTTTTGATAAAAAAGAATGCTACCAGCCATTCTGATTGGTGTGAGATTATATCTCATTGTTGTTTTGATTTGCATTTCTCTAACAATCAGTGATATTGAGCATTTTTCATATGCTTGTTGGCAATGTGCATATTTTGTTCTGAGAAGTGTCTGTTTATGTTTTTTACCCATTCCTTAATGGGGTTGTTAGTTTGCTGCTTGTTGATTTGTTTGACTTCCTTATAGATTCTGGATATTAGACCTTTGCCAGATGCATAGTTTGCAAATATTTTCTCCCATTCTGTAGGTTGTCTGTTTACTCTATTGATAGTTTATTTTGCTGTTTAGCTTGCAATTTTTAAAACTACTTCTATTTTTCTTGATTTTTAAGTAACACATCTTGATTGTGAGAGATAAGTTGTCTAAATGACAAACTTTAGTGGCAACAAAAACTTCACTCAACTGTGGATTTTGAGTTATCAGAGACAGTTTTTGGCCCGTCTCTGAATTTCAAACTCCAAACTCCACAGCCTGGTTTAGTGCCATAAGCATATTAGTTGCTTTAGAGTTAAGTAGTTTTAGCTCCAGATTCAAGATTTAGCACATACTAACTGTGTGACTTTGGGCAAATTATGTGACTTATGTGTTCCTCCTTCATGAGCTCTAAATGAGAAAATGAAAAATAGACACTTAGGATGGCACATGGCACATACGAAATGGTCAGTAATTATGAGCTGTTGCTGTCATTGAAGGGGCTGAATTCAATTAATCATTGAAGAAATCTCTTCTGACTTAATTTTAAAACATTAAATATATAGGTCCAGAGATAAAGTCACTTTTCTTAATTCTCATAATTAAGGTACAATAGACCAAGAATATGTTTCTCTTGCATTTTATAGCCATTTTTTTCCCTGAAGATTTTAAGTCTGTATCTGGTTTACTTCCTAGTAATATGAATCCATGAATCCACTTTGTCACCCATTCCAAATACTTGTGAATTCACTAATAAGGAGGGAACCAGATTGAATTACAAAGTACCTGCAGTCCTAGTTCATAAAAAAATTAACAAGAAAGGGTGCTGACAGCCCCTTTCTATTCACTGGCTCTCGTATTGCTGTAAATAAATGCTTGAGATGGAGTAATTTATAGAGAAGAGAGGTTTAATTGTCTCACAGTTTTGGAGGCTGTATAAGAAGCATGATGCTGGCATCTGCTCAGTTTCTGGAAAGGCCTCAGGAAACTTACAATCATTGCAGAAGGTAAAAGAGGAGTGGAGAAGTCATGTAGCCAGAGCACGAGCAAGAGAGAGGGAAGGAGGTGCCACACACTTTTAAACAACCAGATCTCATGAAAGCTCACTATCACAAGAACAGCACCAAGAGATGGTACTAAATCATTCATGAGAAATCCACTCCTATGATCTATCCAATCACCTCCACCAGGCCCCACCTTTAACATCGGGGATTATAATCCAAAAAAGATTGGGGTTGACACACAGATCCAAACCATATCACCCTATCACATATATCTATAGTCCAGCCAGGAGTGAAACTATTACAAATATTGATGTCAGAATCTACTGAAAGTCATTGTACTAAAAAAAAATCCTGTAGAAAGCATGGTAGTAATGAGATTGGGAAAAGGGGAAACATGGGATTTAGTTACTACTTTTATTCAGGTTATATTATATTCAGGGAGTCAAGGAAAAAGTGGTTATTACTGGCACTCACTTTATGGTCCCAGCTGTTTCATGTGAAGGTGATTTTTAATGCCAAGCAGTACATGGAGTCTACAAAAATTATGAAGTTAAAAAACAATACATGAACTACATATGCCTTTATCCAAAGATAATCAGGCCACAATTTGCAAATATCAGTGTAGAGTGTAAGGTTTATAAAATCATACATTTTGTATCCAACCATTCTTACTTAAGCTTTCTTGGGGAATTAATCCTCAAAAAAATCAAGGAAACCAAAAAAACAAATGTGAAAAAAAACTTATAAAATTATAAATTATAAAATTTCCATCTATGGCAAAGATTGAAAATAGATATGAAACTTTCCAAACCTAGGTCAAAAAAGGTGATGCACATATTTTCCATCCATTGCCTATTTCCTTACTGCCAAGTCACTCTTGCTGTTGTACCCTTGCACAATTCCTGTTTCAGATCCAGATGACATGAGACTAGACCATCAGACCCTATAAGACCTATCGCTTAATAAGTGTCCTGCATATTGCATGTGCTTTATTAAGCATTTAAATATATTACCAATTCTCATAATCATCCTAAGAACCTGGAACTATTATCACCACCTTTCTACATTTGACAAAACTGAGGGTTAGTCCACTTAGATGATGTGCCTGAGGGCATAGCTAATTAGTTTGTGGATATGGGTTCCGACAGAAAATTGCCACCACCAAAATTCAGGAAGGCTAAAAAGGGCTCAAGCATTCAAGGTTTTAAAGGTTTGTTAAATTATTGGAGATTGAGGGCACTCTAGTTTTCAACATTATCAAGGCCCAAGTGAGAAATAAGTGAGCATCATCCATGTTGTCATGAATGGCAGGATCTCCCTTTCTAAGGCAGAATAATATCCTATTGTGTATTTATATATGCATAGGCCACAGTTTCTTTATCTAGTCATCTTGTGACAGACACTTAAGTTGTTTCCATATTATGGTTATTGTGAATAATGCTGCAGTGAACATGGGAGTGCAGAAATCTTTAATAAAGTGATTTCATTTCCTCTGTGTATATACCCAAAAGAGGGATTGCTAGATCATATGGTAGTTTAATTTTTAATTTCTTTAGAAACTTTCATACCATTTTCCTCAGTAATGGACCAGTTTACATTTCCACCAGTAGTATGTAAGGGTTCTGCTTTCTCCATTCCCTTGCTGATACTTGTTAGCTCTTGTCTTCTTGATAATAGCCATCCTAACAGAAATGAGGCGATACCTTTTTGTGATTTTGATTTGCATCTTCCTGATGACTAATGAGGATGCAAGCATTTTTATATACCTGTCAACATAAAATGGATGACAGCTATAAAAAAGGAATGTGTATTCAGGTCCTTTGTGTGGTTTGTAAATTAGGTTTTTTGTTCTAAAAATGTGCTCAACATCAGAGAATGATCATCACAGAAATGCAAATCAAAACTACAATGAGATATGATCTTACACCAGTTAAAATGGCTTTTATTCAAATGACAGGCAATAACAAATGCTGATGAGGAGGGGGATAAAAGAGAACTTTTGTACACTGTGGATGGGAATATAAATTACTATAACCACTATGGAGAACAGTTTAGAGGTTCCTCAAAAGACTAAAAATAGAGCTACAATCCAGTAATCCCACTGTTGAGTATATATCCAAAAGAATGGAAATGAGTATATTCAAGATATATCTGTACCCTCATATTTATTGCAGCACTGCTCACAGTAGCCAATAATTGGAAGAAACCCAGGTGTCCCTCATCCGATGAATGTACAAAGAAATTGTGGTACATATACACAATGGAGTACTATGCAGCCATAAAAAATAATAAGATCCCATCATTTGCAACAACATGAATGGACCTGGAGGTCATTATGTTTATTATGTTTTTTTTTATTATGCTTTAAGTTCTAGGGTACATGTGCACAACCTGCAGGTTTGTTACATATGTATACATGTGCCATGTTGGTGTGCTGCACCCAGTAACTCATCATTTACATTAGGTATATCACCTAATGCTATCCCTCCCCCATCCCCCACCCCACGACAGGTGTGTGATGTTCCCCTTCCTGTGTCCAAGTGTTCTCATTGTTCAATTCCCACCTATGAGTGAGAACATGCAGTGTTTATTTTTTTGTCCTTGCAATAGTTTGCTGAGAATGATGGTTTCCAGCTTCATGCATGTCCCTACAAAGGACATGAACTCCTCATTTTGTATGGCTGCATAGTATTCCATGGTGTATATGTGCCACATTTTCTTAATCCAGTCTATCATTGATGGACATTTGGGTTGGTTCCAAGTCTTTGCTATTGTGAATAGTGCTGCAATAAACATGCGTGTGCATATGTCTTTATAGCAGCATGATTTATAATCCTTTGGGTATATACCCAGTAATGGGATGGCTGGGTCAAATGGTATTTGTAGTTCTAGATCCTTAAGGAATCGCCACACTGTCTTCCACACTGGTTGAACTAGTTTACAGTCCCACCAATAGTGTAAAAGTGTTCCTATTTCTCCACATCCTCTCCAGCACCTGTTGTTTCCTGACTTTTTAATGATCCCCATTCTAACTGGTGTGAGATAGTATCTCATTGTGGTTTTGATTTGCATTTCTCTGATGGCCAGTGATGATGAACATTTTTTCATGTGTCTGTTGGCTGCATAAATGTCTTCTTTTGAGAAGTGTCTGTTCATGTTCTTTGCCCACTTTTTGATGGGGTTGTTTGCGTTTTTCTTGTAAATTTGTTTGAGTTCTTTGTAGATTCTGGATATTAGCCCTTTGTCAGATGAGTAGATTGCAAAAGTTTTCTCCCATTCTGTAGGTTGCCTGTTTACTCTGATGGTAGTTTCTTTTGCTGTGCAGAAGCTCTTTAGTTTAATTAGATCCCATTTGTCAATTTTGGCTTTTGTTGCCATTGCTTTTGGTGTTTTAGACATGAAGTCCTTGCCCATGTCTATGTCCTGAATGGTATTGCCTAGGTTTTCTTCTAGGGTTTTTATGGTTTTAGGTCTAACATGTAAGTCTTTAATCCATCTTGAATTAATTTTTGTGTAAGGTATAAGGAAGGGATCCAGTTTCAACTTTCTGCAGCACCATTTATTAAATAGCCAGTTTTCCCAGCACGATTTATTAAATATGGAAGAACATTTCTTGTTTTTGTCAGGTTTGACAAAGATCAGATGGTGGTAGATGTGTGGTATTATTTCTGAGGGCTCTGTTCTGTTCCATTGGTCTATATCTCTGTTTTGATATGAGTAACATGCTGTTTTGGTTACTGTAGCCTTGTAGTATAGTTTGAAGTCAGGTAGTGTGATGCCTCCAGCTTTGTTCTTTTGGCTTAGGATTGACTTGGCAATGCGGGCTCTTTTTTGGTTCCATATGAACTTTAAAGTAGTTTTTTCCAATTCTGTGAAGAAAATCATTGTTAGCTTGATGGGTACAGCATTGAATCTATAAATTACCTTGGGCAGTATGGCCATTTTCACACTATTGGTTCTTCCTATCCATGAGCATGGAATGTTCTTCCATTTGTTTGTGTCCTCTTTTATTTCATTGAGCAGTGGTTTGTAGTTCTCCTTGAAGAGATCCTTCACATCCCTTGTAAGTTGGATTCTGAGGTATTTTATTCTCTTTGAAGAAATTGTGAATGGGACTTCACTCATGATTTGGCTCTCTGTTTGTCTGTTATTGGTGTATAAGAATGCTTGTGATTTTAGCACATTGATCTTGTATCCTGAGACTTTGCTGAAGTTGCTTATCAGTTTAAGGAGATTTTGGGCTGAGACGATGGGGTTTTCTAAACATACAATCATGTCATCTGCAAACAGGGACAATTTGACTTCCTCTTTTCCTAACTGAATACCCTTTATTTCTTTCTCCTGCCTGATTGCCTTGGCCAGAACTTCCAACACTATGTTGAATAGGAGTGGTGAGAGAGGACATCCCTGTCTTATGCCAGTTTTCAAAGGGAATGCTTCCAGTTTTTGCCCATTCAGTATGATATTGGCTGTGAGTTTGACATAAATAGCTCTTATTATTTTGGGATACATCCCATCAATACCTAATTTATTGAGAGTTTTTAGCATGAAGGGCTGTTGAATTTTGTCAAAGGCCTTTTCTGCATCTATTGGGATAACCATGTGGTTTTTATCTTTGGTTCTGTTTATATGCTGGATTACATTTATTGGTTTGTGTATGTTGAACCAGCCTTGCATCCCAGGGATGAAGCCCACTTGATCATTGTGGATAAGCTTTTTGATGTGCTGCTGGATTCGGGTTGCCATTATTTTATTGAGGATTTTTGCATTGATGTTCATCAGGGATATTGGTCTAAAATTCTCTTTTTTGTTGTTGTGTCTCTGCCAGGCTTTGGTATCAGGATGATGCTGGCCTCATAAAATGAGTTAGGGAGGATTCCCTCTTTTTCTATTGATTGGAATAGTTTCAGAAGGAATGGTACCAGCTCCTCCTTGTACCTCTGGTAGAATTTGGCTGTGAATCTGTCTGGTCTTGAACTTTTTTTTGGTTGGTAGGCTATTAATTATTGCCTCAATTTCAGAACCTGTTATTGGTCTATTCAGGGATTCAACTTCTTCCTGGTTCAGTCTTTGGAGGGTGTATGTGTCGAGGAATTTATCCATTTCTTCTTGATTTTCTAGTTTATTTGCGTAGAGGTGTTTATAGTATTCTCTGATGGTAGTTTGTATTTCTGCAGGATCAATGGTGATATCCCCTTTATCATCTTTTTTTGCATCTATTTGATTCTTCTCTCTTTTATTCTTTATTAGTCTTGCTAGTGGTCAATCAATTTTGTTGATCTTTTCAAAAAACCAGCTCCTGGATTCATTGATTTTTTGAAGGGTTTTTTGTGTCTCTATCTCCTTCAGTTCTGCTCTGATCTTAGTTATTTCTTGCCTTCTGCTAGCTTTTGAATTGCTCTTGCTTCTCTAGTTCTTTTAATTGTGATGTTAGGGTGTCAATTTTAGATCTTTCCTGCTTTCTGTTGTGGGCATTTAGTGCTATAAATTTCCCTCTACACACTGCTTTAAATGTGTCCCAGAGATTCTGGTATGTTGTATCTTTGTTTTCATTGGTTTCAAAGAACATCTTTATTTCTGCCTTCATTTTGTTATGTACCCAGTAGTCATTCAGGAGCAGGTTGTTCAGTTTCCATGTAGTTGAGTGGTTTTAAGTCAGTTTCTTAATCCTGAGTTCTAGTTTGATTGCACTGTGGTCTGAGAGACAGTTTGTTATAATTTCTGTTCTTTTATGTTTGCTGAGGAGTGCTTTACTTCCAACTATGTGGTCAGTTTTGGAATAAGTGTGATGTGGTGCTGAGAAGAATGTATATTCTGTTGACTTGGGTTGGAGAGTTCTGTAGATGTCTGTTAGTTCTACTTGCTGCAGAGCTGAGTTCAATTCCTGGATATCCTTGTTAACTTTCCGTCTTGCTGATCTGTCTAATATTGACAGTGGGGTGTTAAAGTCTCCCATTATTATTGTGTGGGAGTCTAAGTCTCTTTGTAGGTCTCTAAGGACTTGCTTTATGAATCTGGATGCTCCTGTATTGGGTGCATATATATTTAGGATAGTTAGCTATTCTTGTTGAATTGATCCCTTTACCATTATGTAATGGCCTTCTTTGTCTATTTTGATCTTTGTTGGTTTAAAGTCTGCTTTATCAGAGACTAGGATTGCAACCTCCACCTTTTTTTGTTTTCCATTTGCTTGGTAGATCTTCCTCCATCTCTTTATTTTGAGCCTATGTGTGTCTCTGCACGTGAGATGGGTCTCCTGAATACAGCACAGGGATGGGTCTTGACTCTTTATCCAATTTGCCAGTCTGTGTCTTTTAATTGGAGCATTTAGCCCATTTCCATTTAAGGTTAATATTGTCATGTGTGAATTTGATCCTGTCATTATGATGTTAGCTGGTTATTTTGCTTGTTTATTGATGCAGTTTCTTCCTAGCATTGTTGGTCTTTACAATTTGGCATGTTTTTGCAGTGGCTGGTACCAGTTGTTCCTTTCCATGTTTAGTGCTTCCTTCAGGAGCTCTTGTACTGCAGGCCTGGTGGTGACAAAATCTCTCAGCATTTGCTTGTCTGTAAGTATTTTATTTCTCCTTCACTTATGAAGCTTAGTTTGGCTGGATATGAAATTCTGGGTTGAAAATTCTTTTCTTTAACAATGTTGAATATTGGCCCCCACTCTCTTCTGGCTTGTAGAGTTTCTGCTGAGAGATCTGCTGTTAGTCTGATGGGCTTCCCTTTGTGGGTAACCTGACCTTTCTCTCTGGCTGCCCTTACCATTTTTTCCTTCATTTCAACCTTGGTGAGTCTGATAATTATGTGTCTTGGAGTTGCTCTTCTTGAGGAGTATCTTTGTGGCGTTCTCTGCATTTCCTGAATTTGAATGTTGGCCTGCCTTGCTAGGTTGGGGAAGTTCTCCTGGATAATATCCTGCAGAGTGTTTTCCAACTTGGTTCCATTCTCCCTGTCACTTTCAGGTACACCAATCAGACGTAGATTTGGTCTATTCACCTATTCCCATATTTCTTGGAGGCTTTGTTTGTTTCTTTTTACTCTTTTTTCTCTAAACTTCTCTTCTTGCTTCATTTCATTCATTTGATCTTCAATCACTGAACTCTTTCTTCCAGTTGATCGAATCGGCTACTGAAGCTTGTGCATTTGTCACGTAGTTCTTGTGCCATGGTTTTCAGCTCCATCATGTCATTTAAGGACTTCTCTACACTGGTTATTCTAGTTAGCCATTTGTCTAATCCTTTTTCAAGGTTTTTAGTTTCTTTGCAATGGGTTCGAACTTCCTCCTTTAGCTCAGTGAAGTTTGATCGTCTGAAGCCTTCTTCTTTCAGCTCATCAAAGTCATTCTCCATCCAGCTTTGTTCCATTGCTGGCAAGGATCTGCATTCCTTTGGAGGTGGAGAGACGCTCTGATTTTTAGAAATTTCAGCTTTTCTGCTCTGTTTTTCCCCATCTTTGTGGTTTTATCTACCTTTGGTCTTTGATGATTGTGACGTACAGAAGGTGTTTTGGTGTGGATGTCCTTTCTGTTTGTTAGTTTTCCTTCTAACAGTCAGGACCCTCAGCTGCAGGCCTGTTGGAGTTTATCAGAGGTCCACTCCAGACCCCGTTTGCCTGGGTATCAGCAGCAGAAGCTGCAGAATAGCAAATATTGCTGAACAGCAAATGTTGCTGCCTGATTGTTCCTCTGGAAACTTCGTCTCAGAGGGGTACCTGCTGGTGTGAGGGGTCAGTCTGCCCCTACTGGGGGTGCCTCCCAGTTAGGCTACTTGGGGGTCAGGGACCAACCTGAGGAGGCAGTCTGTCCATTCTCAGATCTCAAACTCCATGCTGGGAGAACCACTACTCTCTTCAAAGCTGTCAGACAGGGACATTTAAGTCTGCAGAGGTGTCTGCTGCCTTTTGTTTGGCTATGCCCTGCCTCCAGAGGTGGAGTCTACAGAGGCAGGCAGGCCTCCTTGAGCTGTGGTGGGCTCCACCCAGTTCGAGCTTCCTGGCCACTTTGTTTACCTACTCAAGCCTCAGCAATGGTGGGTGCCCCTCCTCTAGCCTCGCTGCTGCCTTGCAGTTCAATCTCCGACTGCTGTGCTAGCAATGAGCGAGGCTCCGTGTGCGTGGGACCCACTGAGCGAGGTGCGGGATATAATCTCCTGGTGTGCCCTTTGCTAAGATCATTGGAAAAGCGCAGTATTAGGGTGGGAGTGACCCGATTTTCCAGGTGCCGTCTGTCACAGCTTCCCTTGGCAAGGAAAGGGAATTCCCTGACCCCTTGCACTTCCCAGGTAAGGTGATGCCTCACTGCTTCAGCTCACGCTTCGTGGGCTGCACCCACTGTCCTGCACCCACTCTCTGACAAGCCCCAGTGAGATGAATCTGGTACCTCAGTTGGAAATGCAGAAATCACCCATCGTCTGCATTGCTCACACTGGGAGCTGTAGACTGGAGCTGTTCATATTCGGCCATCTTGGATCCACCTCCTGAGGTCATTATGTTAAGTGAAAAAAGCCAGTCACAGTAAGTCAAACATTGCACCTTCTCATTTATTTGCAGAAGCTTAAAAATAAAACAATTAAACTCTTGGAGATAGACAGTAGAAGGATGGTTATGAGTCTGGGAAGGGTACTGGTGGGGATGGGGGCATGTGGAGATGGTTAATGAGTACAAAAATAAAAAAAATTAATAGTAGCTAGTATTTTCTAGCACAACAGTTTTACTATAGTCAAAAACTATTTAATTGTATATTTAAATATAACTAAAATAGTATAATTGGATTGTTTGTAACAAAATGGATAAATGCTTTAGGGGATGGATACTCCATTTACTCTGATGTGATTATCATGCACTGCATGCCTGTTATCAAAATATCTCATGTAACCCATAAATATATACACCTACTATGTACCCATAAAAAATAAGAATAAAAGAAAATTTTAAAAAATCAAGTTATTTGGGGTTTTCTGTTTGTTTTCTATTGAGTTGTGTGAGTTCCTTATGCATTTTGGAAATTAACCCTTTATCAGGTATATGGTTTGCAAATAATTGTCTCCCACACCACAGACTGACTTTTCATTTTGTTTCCTTCAATGAACAGAGCTTTTCAGTTTGATATAATTTCATTTTTTAATGTCTTGCATTGCTTGTGCTTTGGGCATCCTATCTAAAAAACCATTGCTAGGTCCAATATCAATGAGATTTTTTTTCCTTTTTGTTATAAGGTTTTATGGTTTCAGGACTTACATTTAGGACTTTAATCAATTTGTGTTGATTATTTGAGTTGCTTGGATATAATGCAAGATAAGGACCTAATTTCATTCTTTTGCTTGTGGAAATCCAGTTTTTCTAAGACTATTTATTTGAGAGTCTATCTTTTCTCTATCATGCCTTCTGTGTGACCTTATTGAAAATTAGTTGAAGGACTGGTGCGGTGGCTCACGCCTGTAATCCCAGCACTTTGGGAGGCCGAGGCAGATGGATCACAAGGTCAGGAGATTGAGACCATCCTGGCTAACATGGTGAAACCCCGTCTCTACTAAAAAAAAAAATACAAAAAAATTAGCTGGGCATGGTGGCAGGTGCCTGTAGTCCCAGCTACTCAGGAGGCTGAGGCAGGAGAATGGCAAGAACCCGGGAGGTGGAGCTTGCAGTGAGCCAAGATCATGCCACTGCACTCCAGCCTGGGCAACAGGGCAAGACTCCATCTCAAAAAAAAAAAAAAAAAAGAGAAAATTAGTTGACCATTTGACCTCATATACTTCTGAGCTCTGTCTTAAAAATAAGAGCTAAGATTTACTTTATTCTGAAATGTAACAGTAGAACCAATAAGTGAAAACTGCCAAGAAGCAGATTTTTCAGTGTAAGAAAAAATTTTCAATTGGAAGGAAAATAGAATGGAGCTTTTACTATTCCACAAAGTTCATGTCATCCTTAAACACAAAATTTTTAGGGTTTAATATTTTATTATTTAAATGAGCTAATAATCATTTATCTACATTATGAAAAAATAGATCATTTGCTAACAGAATGTGCTCAGTTAATGTTAAATATTTATTAAAATGTAAAAATGTTCCTAAGAATTTCTCTGGCACAGGAGCAAAACATTTCTGTTTAAACCTCAATACTGTTCCTCCAAGTTAATTAATTTACTTGCCAAATATATATATCAAACATTATGTAATTAAATATTTATACATATAAAACATTATATAGTATATGATGTATAGTTATATATCATATTTATATAAATATATGTAACATAATAAATCTCATCTGCTAAATGATAGAGCATACAATCTGTTCATTCCCAGAATAATTTTGTTGAAAAGTTATAATTTATGTTTAATACTTTGCTGATTTCTACCTTCTGAATCACATAATCAAGAGATGTCTTTTTTTTTTTTAGATGGAGCCTCACTCTTTTCACCCGGGCTAGAGTGCAATGGCACGATCTCGAGTAAGTGCAACCTCCACCTCCAGGGTTCAAGCAATTCTCCTGCCTCAGCCTCTGAGTAGCTGGGATTACAAACATGCGCCACCATGCTCAGCTAACTTTTTGTATTTTTAGTAGAGATGGGGTTTCAACATGTTGGCCAGACTGGTCTTGAATTCCTGACCTCAAGTGATCTACCAGCCTCGGCCTCCCAAAGTGCTGGGATTACAGGTGTGAGCCACTGCACCCAGCCAAGAGATGTCTTTAAATGATGTTCTTTTATAAGAATCTCCAAATACAATTCTGAGGCTTAGAACACCAAGAATTTTTCTGACCTGAAGATAGCAAAGCTATACAAAACAAGAAAATATTATCATGAGTAAAGAAGATCACCAAAATTCTTTAAAAGATAGAGTGAAAAGTGTTCATATAATTTTCAGGAAACTACTTTCCCTGTCACTGGGATAAACGTTACTCACTTTACTCTCTTTAGAAACAAATTTCAAGTTTTTTCTGAAAACTTTTTAAAGACATTTTAAAAAACAAATTCTTGAGTATAGAGTCTATCTTCAAGCATATTTGAGTGTTTAAAGCACATCTGAGTAGCTTTCATTTAAAATGTTCTAGATATAGTTTCATTGTTTTGATCCTTGATTTTGTTGTATTCAAGTTAACCTAAGTTTGAAAAAGTTGGAAGAAATAATTGAAAGAAAAGGCAAGTAAAAGTCTGCGATTAATTAACTTATCCCGACTAGATTGTTCATCATTACAGCACCAAGTTTTAAGAGATAGGATTATCTGGTGACTAATATTACTTCAGAAAATAATTTGTCAAACTCTACTTCAACTAAACATTTCTGAAGGTGTTTTTTCAGGAGTTTCTGTTTAAAGCAAACCAGTAAATTAATAGGCTGTAATTAAATGTTTATTCTGAATATACTGTCTATAATTTGCTAATGGCGTCATTAATCGTATATAAAATACAATTGTTGATGCAGTGTATACACTTCCACTTCAATTGTCTAGAAGGATTGTCTCTATTTTGGTTTGCATCCAGAAACACATCCCCTTTTTATCACCTTTGTTTTATGTGTCTGTATTAAGGTGACTATTTTTGCGTACCATGCTAGCCTAATGCATTCTGGTGACTTTGTGAATCCTTTGATACTATTGACTAAGTATACACAATTTTTTAGTGCAAAGGCCTTGAGGCTGGAAAATGCTTGAATATTTTTAGCAAAAGCAAAAGTACAAGAAGTCAAAGTGAAGTAAGTGAGGAGACGATTACTAGGAGATAAAATTTGAGAATTATGAGGATCATATTTTCTAGAGCCTGAAAGATCTTCATGTTGACTTAACCTTTTACTCTGTGTCTTTATTAGAGAAAGCCACTGAGGTATTTGGAAAAATGGCGCCATCTGAGCTGAGTTATGTTTTTAATGGATGACTCTGGCTTCTGGGTTGAGAAGAAACTTTAGCAAAGCCAACACTGAAGCATTGAGAGTTGTTGGGAAGCTACTGAAGTATTCTAATTGAGAGTTATTGTACATTTGACTATCATAGAAGTTGGAAGTAGTGTGAAATGATGCTATTTTGAGTACATTTGAAGATAGAACTTATCTTTGAGGTCTGTACTGTGGGTCGAAGAAATGGATTATGTTGTCATGGGTTTGAATGTTTGTATCCCTTCCATAATTCAGATTGAGACTTAATTCCTGCTGTGGTTGTATTAAGAGTTGAGGCCTTTTGGGAAGCGATTAAGTCATGAGGACTTCATCCTCATGAATGGATTAGTGCCTTATAAAAGGGCTAGAGGAACTAGCATTTGACCTCAGTTTTGCCCTTTCATCCCTTCACCATGTGGACACCTAGACAGCATCAATCTATGGGAAATTGGCTTTCACCACACACTGAATAGAACCTTCTGGCATGTTGAGCTTGGGCTTCCCAGCCTCCAGAACTATGAGAGATAAATTTTGATTATTAATAAACTATCCTATCTCTGGTATTGTGTTGTAGTAGGACAAATATGCTAAGAAACATGAATAACTCAAGGTGTTTGGCCTGAGTGACTAAAGGATGAATCATTATCTGATATGAGGAAGACTGAGAAAAAGACACATATTGGAAAGTGAAGGAAGAGAGGTAGGTCACCATTTCAGCTTTGGAAATGGAAAGGTTGGAATTCTTATTAGAGGGACATGTGAAGATGACTAATAGGAGGGAAAGTATATGAGGCTGAAACTTGGAGAGAGGTCATGGTTGGGGACATAAATTTGGTAATATTCATTAGATAGTACTTAATGAGACCGGAGAAAATTACAATGAGATTAAAAATAAATGTAAAAGAATTTCAAAAATGAATCTCCGGTATGTACCGAAATTAGAAGGTCAGGAGATAAGAAGGAACCAAAAAAGGAGAGAAACATAAATTTGTGAGGTAGCAGCAAAATCAGGAGATTGCCATATCCTGTTTTTTTCTGACTTTAAAAGTTAGAGAGTAATCTCTAATGCCAAATGCTACTAGTGGCGAAATCAGATTAAGACTGATTACTGACCATCAGATTCTGAAATCCAGATGTTGGTGACCACTAAAACAACAGTTTTGGTAGAGTATTGAAGCAAAAACTGATTGGAACAGTTTGGAGGGAGATAGGAGAGAATTTGAGAAGAATAAGAGCAGATTCTCAGAGCAGAGAAGTAGAACAGTAGTTACAGAAGAAAACATCAATAAGTTTTTGGTGTATTTGGTTTTATTTTGCTTTATTTTGTTTTTTTAAGATGAAACAAACAACACTATCTTTTTTTAAAATTGTACTTTAAGTTCTGGAATACATGTGCAGAACGTGCAGGTTTGTTATATAGGTATACATGTGCCATGGTGGTTTGTGGCACCCATCAACCCATCATCTAGTTTTTAAGCCCCACATGCATTAGATATTTGTCCTAATGCTCTCCCTCCCCTCGTCCCCCAACCCCTGACAGGCCCTGGTATGTGATGTTCCCCTCACTGTGTCCATGTGTTCTCATTGTTCAACTCCCACTTATGAGTGAGAACCTGTGACGTTTGGTTTTCTGTTCCTGTGTTAGTGTGCTGAGGATGATGGTTTCCAGCTTCATCCATGTCCCTGCAAAGGACATGATCTCATTCTTTTTTATCGCTGCATAGTATTCTATGGTGCATATGTGCCATATTTTCTTTATCCAGTCTATCATCGATGGGCATTTGGGTTGGTTCCAGGTCTTTGCTATTGTGAATAGTGCTGCAATAAACATACCTGTGCATGTGTCTTTATAGTAGAATGATTTATAATCCTTTGGGTATATAACCAGTAACGGGATTGCTGGGTCAAATGGAATTTCTGGTCCTAGATCCTTGAAGAATGGCTACACTGTCTTCCACAATGGTTGAACTAATTTACATTCCCACCAACAGCGTAAAAGCATTCCTATTCCTCCAGAATCTACAAGGAACTTTAATAAATGTATGAGAAAAACAAATAACCCCATCAAAAACTGGGTGAAGGATATGAACAGACACTTCTCAGAGGAAGACATTTATGCGGCCAATAAACATGAAAAAAGGCTCATCATCACAGGTCATTAGAGAAATGCAAATCAAAACCACAAATAACAATGTCTTTCATTGACAGAAGCAATCCATTAGTGAAAAAAATTTTAATGATGAAGGAAATAAAGTATTTAATTTTCTAAAGCAATATTATTAGCAGTCAGGAAAGAATGACATATAGGGAGAAACTGGCCTTAAATAGGAGCATAAAAAGTTTTACACAGCAAGAGGGAAGCCAAGTTAAATGGTCACGAATGTTGCTCAGTGGGTTGACTGTGGTGGGAAAGCTTAAAGAAAAAAATGATTACTTCAAGTTTTTCAGTAAAATAGGAAATAATTCATCAACTAAAGAGAGAATGGTGTAGCAATGCTAGAATTTTGAGGAAAATGAGAAAGTTTGAAAAGTCATCAGAGGCCCAGAAGCATTAATCAATTAGGTACGATATGTGATTTCTAGTTAAATTTAAGGGCCTATAAGAGATTTGTAGTCATAAAATTAAAGTGAGATGAGCTTCATCAGCCTCTTCCTACCTTCTTCCTGCTTCCTCCTCCTCTTCCTTCTCCTTCTTCTTCTTGTAAGTTCATTGGAACACCTGTAGGCATGAAGTAGCTTTAAAATTGGATATAACCTGCATGAAGGTTTGGCCAAATGAGACAGAAAGAGAAGGTCAATAAATTTATAATGTATGCAATGAAGTAGTTGAAATAATTGAACTTAGCATTTAAACTAGTAGGAAAGAGAAAAGGGGAAGGAGAAATGTGAGACATCGTGAAAAGTTGTTAAGATTAATCAATTGAGGTTAAAGCAAGGTCAAAATATTATTGATATCAAGGTCCTAGTACTAGACATGTAGAATATGGTTCAAAGAGTGCGATGACTGAAATTGAGATAATAACAATTTGCATTTGCTGCAAATGACAAGGTCACTGCTGTGTGCATGGTATTAAAGATGATGAATGTAGTGAAGGTAAAATTTAACTACTACCCTCTTAGGGGTTTTTTGGAACCAATAATTAAATTGACATAAGACAGATCAACAGGAGAAAAGCATACAAATTTATTTAATATAAGTTTTATGTGAACCTCCCGGGTTCAAGCAATTCTCCTGCCTCAGCCTCCCGAGTAGCTGGGATTACAGGCTTGCAGCACTGTGCCCAGCTAATGTTTGTATTTTTAGTGGAGACGGGGTTTTACCATGTTGGCCAGGCTGGTCTTGAACTCCTAACCTCAGGTGATCTGCCCATCTCAGCCTCCCAAAGTGCTAGGATTACGGGCATGAGCCACCATGCCCAGCCTATTTTGCTCATTTTTAATTTTACTTTTCTCCTTCTTGTTGACTTTAAAGACTACTTTGTATATTATATGTTAACAGTCCTGCTAATGTGAATGGTATTGTGTTTTTAATTTCAAATTCCAATTATTTATTGATGGTACACAAAAAGGCAATTGACTTTTTTATACTATGTATCCTGCAACCTGGCAATTTCTTATTCCAGGAATTTTTTTGTTGTGGTTGTTATTGTTATTGTTAATTCTTTGGGATTTCTACATAGACAGTTATGTCATCTGTGAAAAGACATTTGTATTTTTTCCCAGTCTGCATAACTTTTATTTCTTTTGTTGGTCTTAAATTTTCATTAGCTAGGACTTTTAAGTACATTATTGAATAGGAATGGTGAGAGAAACCAAAGACCCTTAAAATGTTACAATTCAGATTCTGTGTTTCATTATTTATGAGAAAAACTTTTATTTGTATTATAACATCTCTAAAAGTCTAGATGACTTTCATCATTAATGAAAATTTTTAAAAAACATTGTGTCATAATTCAAGTATAGTGTTTCTTTTTTCTATTTAATGTTTATAAAAAGATTATGTGTTAAATGCAAACTTTGCTCTAATTAAATGTAATAGTGTAAATGGCAAAAAAAAACTGTTACAAGATTAAATATGATTTTTAGAAAATTGAAGCCTGGCAGAAATCCATATTTTATTTGAACAAATAATATGCTGAATGGCCTTATTATGGGCCTTGAACCACTGTTCCAGTGACTATGTCAATTTTCTTTTGGTTTCTATTGCTTTATTCTGTCTGTGTCTTCAGAGACTACCCTCCATACATTTTTCCCTTTACTTATTTAAATAGTACTCATATTTTTACATTGGAATCCCAATTTCTGGAAGAAGCTTTTTCTTTTCCTTGTCATTAGTCACCTTTATGCTATACAGCATGTGATAACTTTACAGGTCCTACCACAGAGGGTAGGTGAATTCTGAATACATAGCAGATATTCAGTACCTACTTGATAATATTTGTTTAACAAGGAAAGTGAAAATGCCAAAAGTAATTTTCTTCCCAGTGTATGAATAAATAACTTCTGTTCTTGCCTATGACATGCCTTCTATGTAACAGGACTAAATAACTAACTCGGATGGAAAATTGTCTTTCACCACAGGAGATAAACTCTTTTGTTTACTATAATTGCAATTTGACATGCAATAAATTGTGTAAAGAATCAGAGATTAAGTTTAAAGAGCAAGATTGAGAAGCTTCATCATACACACCTAAACACTCATATGTTAGAGAATTGTGGGTGCATGTATTGTTTTATTTTAAGACTAGGTATGTGTTTTAGAGGAGATATATAGGATTTGGAATTTTTAAAAGCTATGGTTTTTAGTTTGTTTTAGTTTAGGTGACTTAATCTTTCAACACTTCAGATATGCCACAATAAAACAAGTGCTATATATATATATATAATATGTATATATAATATATTATATCTTATATATGTAATATGTATATATAATATACTATATATATATGTGTATATATATATATATATAATCACCAGTCATTAGAGAAATGCAAATCAAAACCACAATGAGATACCATCTCACACCAGTTAGAATGGCAATCATTAAAAAGTCAGGAAACAACAGATGCTGGAGAGGATGTGGAGAAATAGGAATGCTTTAAATTGTTGGTGGGAGTGTAAATTAGTTCAGCCATTGTGGAAATCAGTGTGATGATTCCTCAAGGATCTAGAACCAGAAATACCATTTGACCCAGCAATCCCATACTGGGTATATACTCAAAGGATTATAAATCATTCTATTATAAAGACACATGCACACGTATGTTTATTGCAGCACTATTCACAATAGGAAAGACTTGGAACCAACCCAAATGCCCACTAATGATAGACTGGATAAAGAAAATGTGGCACATATACACCATGGAATACTAGGCAGCCTTAAAAAAGGATGAGTTCATTTCCTTTGCCAGGACATGGATGAAGCTGGAAACCATCATCCTCAGCAAACTAACACAGGAACAGAAAATCAAACACCACGTGTTCTCACTTATCAATGGGAGTTGAACAATGAGAACACATGGACACAGGAAGGGAACATCACACACAAGGGCCTGTTGGGCAATGGGGGGCTAGGGGAGGGATAGCATTAGGGGAAATACCTAATGTAGATGGTGAGTTGATAGGTGCAGCAAACCACCATGGCATGTCTATACCTATGTAACAAACCTTACACGTTCTGCACATGTATCCCATAACTTAAAGTAAAATAAAACAAACAAACAAGCAAAAAACAGTAAGTGCAATAATTTTTAATTTAATGTTTTTTCAAGTTTTAAAATAAGATAATATATATAAATGTGGTGTCTAAAATGTAGGATGTAATAGATGTTCAATGTTATCGATTTTAATCTTTTCTTATTTGGTTAAAATATGAATTTTTTTATTCCATATTAAGATTAATATCTGAGTTGTTTGTTATTATCTTGTTATGTTACCCAGGTCCTTTAAATTTTTTTCCTTTCCCTGTTATTTTCTAACTCTTCACATTCTCATACTTTTTTAGGATTGTTACTAGAGACAGAGAGAGAGGTTGAACCTCAGACCAGTTAATATTGCTCTTGCTGAATTTGCTATACAGAGAATTTGTGAGGCAAATTGGAAATTAGCGCCTTGACTGAGAACCCTAGAATATATCTTGATTTGAATAATTTATTTAACCCTCAATGTTCACAAACAATATACTGTGTACCTCTATTTCAGCATATTTTATGAGTATTTCAATTATATACATAACCTCACATACAGTTTTATAAGAGCAGGGACCATGTCACTATTTTTTTCCTATACCCAGACAGATACCAAAAGCTTGAAGCACATAAGATGCTCAATAAATGTTTGTTTAATAAATGGATGAATGAAGGTATGAATGTATGACTGCAATAATGGGATCATTATTCTCAATTATAGTGGATAAGAATTGTCTAGAATTCACCATATGAAATTTAATAGATACAGAGAATATGGAATGGGCTATACTTTAAAGAATTCTCAAAAATACAATCATATCCTATTCAAAATGTTTGTGGGAATATTAAACATTTTGATATTCTATTCTTATTTAAAGAACACTTTGCAATATTTATACTTACATGCTGATGTCATTGTTTATATACCAGTTATATGAGGATTTCAAATTGAATCTTTTTATCAATCATGGAATTAGATAGCATGTATATTAGGTTCCCATTTTCAGATGAGGGAATTAAATCAGAAAGGCATTAAATAATTTGTGCATGTTCATACACCTACAGAACTATAGTTCTTGTAGTTGTACCCAGGATATCTGATTTTAACTTTGAGTTTGTCTTTTTGTTTTCATATCAGTAACTACATAGTTAACTCTTTTAGTAGTTAAGTTCCTATACTCTAATCACTTGAAAACACTTCAGTTTGGTCACTTTGGCACTGAGAAATTCGGGTTGAATATATGTTTCCAATTAATTTTTAATGAAATAAAAATGTTCTACATAATGAAAAATAACAAAACTAAGTACTTTTCAATGTTAAACGTTTTAGTCTCATTTTTTACCCAGTCTTCTCACTTTGAACATTGAATTGATAGTCAATAACTATTTGTTGAACATTTAAATGGTCCAGCAGAAAAATTACATGCATGGAAATATGCAATTTTTAAAAATTCTAAGAAGAAGTTAACTATGAACACAAAATATGACTGGTGCATGAAAAATATTTTTGACAACCTCAGATGATGTATGCTATTATTACCATTTGGAGGAGTCATTAAGGCATTAAGGTACCAAGTGAATCTTAGACATTAGTAGTGAAAACTATGTCTTAAACAATAATTTGTGAAAGTAGTAAAAAAAAAACATTTAAGAATCAATCACCATTAAATGTCAATGTATTAGTCAGGATTCTCTTAGAGGGACAGCACTAATAGATAGAGATGTGTGTGTGTGTATATATATATATAGATAGATAGATAGATTATATCTATATCTATATCTATATCATCTATATCTATATCTATATCTATATCTGTAAAGGGGTGATTGTTAAGTATTAACTTATACAATCACAAGGTCCCGCAATAGGCTGTCTACAAGCTAAGGAGCAAGGAGAGCCAGTCGGAGTCTCAAAACTGAAGAACTTGGAGTCCTATGTTCGAGGGCAGGAAGCATCCAGCACGGGAGAAAGATGTAGGCTGGGAGTCTAGGCCTGTCTTGCTTTTTCACATTTTTCTGCCTACTTTATATTCACTGGCAGCTGATAAGATTGTACACTCCAGATTAAGAGTGGATCTACCTTCCCCAGCCCACTGATTCAAATGTTAATCTCTTTTAACAACACCCACACAGACACACCCAGGATCAATACTTTGTATCCCTCAATCCAATCAAGTTGACACTCAGTATTAACATCACCATAAGTAAACCTTTATTTAATAAGAAATAATGAAAAAAGTCCATTTCAGATTAGAAATTTTGACTAAATCAAGAGAATACAAGTAATGGACCCTGACTGTGTTCATAAAGAGAGATCAAGAAAGAAATTATTTACCTACTGAAGTCCATTAGTGGGAATACAAAGATCAGCCCTTTAAGTGCATGTTCTTAGGAATAAGACAATTATTATTATTATTATTATTTAATCTGATGATTCAGTTTCTGATAGTTTTTACTCAAATATGTATATTAAATGAGAGAAATTTGAACTCTAATAATATGCAATAAACAAAGAGATACAAATAACAAAAATGATACATAGTTGGAATTTTAAATGAATATCAAAATTAGTAGGGATTCCAGAATCTTATCCAATGGTGATTAGAAGAGACAAGCATATACAAGGGTGGAAAGAAAAATAAAGAAAAAATAGATAGAAGGATTATTATGGCCTCATTCTTTTCTTTTATTCTTTTGGCTTATTTCTATAATAAAGGATGCCTTATTCTCTTTTATTACAAGGAGAAGGGAAAATTCAGGACAATGCTTCTTCTCTTGGAAAGCTCTAGTGGACTCTTTTTAAAGCAACAAGCTTCTAGTGAGCTTTTGTTTGCCTGTAGAAAAGCAAATTAAGGTTCCATCTGGGAACTTGTCACTCTATAGGAATACATGTTTTATTGAAATGTTTGCAGGATTCACTATTCTTAGGGTTGTCAGAGATGGGCACCTCTCTCATTAGGTACAATGAGAATGGTATGATGCAAGGGAATTATGAGGCAGCATGCAACTGCTGCAGAGGCACTGACTTTAAGAAGAGAGCTGTAAGTAACTTAAGTCTTCAGCAATGCAGTATTTTCCACAGAAGGAAAAAGCTAAGGCAAGAGGGAAGAGAGAAAGGTCTTGGAGTAAACACCTAAGACTAGAATTGAGTTCTGTATTCACTCTGTGTTTTCTTAGGTTACTTACCCTTCAGTTGTAGTATAGGGATAATAACATCACATTTGACTGTTATGAATGATAATTGGAACAATATATATAAATCATTGACCAAAATGTCTGGCATACATTAGGACTTCGAGAAGTGGTGGACATTATTCTGGAAAAGAGTAGATACACAGCAATGACTAGTGATGTTGACTAATTTAGTAAATTGCTTATACATACTCAGATTTCTAAAATGCAAAATTAATTGTGGTGCACTTTTAAGTTGATTTCCTCTTAGCTGTTGAATATTCGTTTAAGGAAAATGTTTGTTTCTTACGTAGCAAGTGAAAAAAAATGCACAGATCCTGGGATTTAGTCCAGAATGGAGGCTAGTCTTTATGCTTCTTTCATCACTGGGCTGAGCCCTTTACTGCAGTTAATATAGTTTTGAGGCTGGGAGAGGCCATAAGTTGGAGTTCAAGTTGCTGGACACTGATCTCTGCCTAAGAATTGGTATTAAAATATAGGAAACCTATGGTATTTGAACAAGCAAAGTAGAAGTTACATTTGAGAGGAAATAAATGAAAGTTGATATGGCTGGTGAGTAAAGAAGAAGGAATACTGATTCTGTAGGAGCCTGGTGAATGGGAGCTAGATCATATAAAGAAATCATATAAGGACATAGGATCACATATTGAATTAAGGATTTTGTACTATATCTTAGAGTGAGAAGTTAATGGAGAACTTTATGCATAATAATAACTTGAATAACAAATTTAATAAGACATTGTTACTGTACCATGAGGGAGGTTTTGAATAAAGCATTAACAGATGTAGATAAACCAGTTTAGAGGCTTTTATATAACTTTGATATAAAGAGGATGGCTTCAAGACCTAGAATTGTGTAAGAGGAGATAGATGGTAAGTAGAAAGTAGACTCAAGATAAATGGTAAGACAGTGGCACCGGGTATAAAGAGTGATTTCCAGATTGTCAACGTTTCTAGCTCTATTCAGTGAAAAAATATACCTTTCATCAGTCATATCTTTTTCAAATGGGTGAACATTTCTCTTGTGTATAGCCTAGATGATATTATTTGGGAGTCTGTGCAGGACATAAGATTATGTGTATTACAAAAGGAAGTAACCCCAAATATTGTAGTTCTCATTCTAGTTCACACCAGCTAGTGTTCATGACATGTTGGGAGGAACAATTGCTTAGTTTAACAATTCAAAAACTTTGACACATAATGTGAGTCAGACAGGCTAAAAACAATAAACAAAATTGACATATACTCTTTCTTCATGAAGCATTACACTGGTATAAACTGTTTCAGCAGATGTCCATTGACTCTACATAATTAACAGGAAATTAGGAAGTAGAGGTAGTATGAAGCCCATAGATTAATATCAATGAATTTTTACCTGCTTTCTAGCATTTGGGCCATGTCTATAATTGTCTTCTGATGTTATTATTAAGTTAATTAAAACTAACACTATAAACTCTATCAAAAGTATTATGGTACAGTTTTGTTTTCTATTGTTTTTAAGCCCAAAGATGCTTAGCATAATTGTTCTATAATATTCCTTGAGTACTCATCTTAATTGTGAAAATGTAGGACAAGTCTTTTCCCACTTGATATTCACTTTCAGTTCATAAGACAAAGATAAATATCTTACCAAATTGAGACAAGAAGTTTTATGATGGAGCCAACACATTTTTCCTTCTTACTCTTTCTTCCTAATACTAGAAGTTAGGCCTATCTTCCCATTGGCAGGAAAATATCATGGGATTTTGATTGTTAAGTTCTCATAAAGAAAATGAGGAAATGGGGAAAGTTCATTATCTTTCCCAAGTTACTTCTCTCTGGGGTGAAATGAGAACCCTGGGATTAGATTTCATCTTTTTTTGGGAGTTGCACTGTCTCTCACAGGACCTGTAAATGCACTTAATGAAAACACAAAGCAACTATTGGATATATTATTCCCTTCTTCACCAAGTTTATTCCTCTAAGTAGCATATACTAAATTTTGGAGGTGGGAAGGGGAAAAAGTAAATGCAAACCCTTTTTGATCTGCCTTTTTAGAAATACCACCTCCAAACAAATTTATTTTTGAGCATTTTCTATGCATATTGTCAGATGTACCCAACACAATCCTTCTTTGAGGCCTTACCTTTAAAAAATACCTTTGCAAGGGAAATCATTTTTAAAAATTAACAGTTCTGTAAATATTGTGAATAGTCACATTGCTATGGTCTGAATGTTTGTGTCTCCCCCACAAAATGTATATGCTGAAATTCCAACCTCCAAAGCCGATAATATTAAGAGGTGGGTCCTTCGGGACTAGACAAGACCATGAAGGTGGAGCCCTCATGAAAAGGATTAGTGTCCTTATAAAAGAAGCTGGAGAGAGACTCCTCACTCCTTTTGCCATTAAAGTTAACGGCAAGAAGCCCTCACCAGACATGGAATCTGCTGGTGCTTTGATCTTGGACTTTTAGCTTCTAGATCTGTGAGAAATAAATTTCTATGGTATAGTATTTTTGTTATAGCAGCCTGGAAGTGCCCACCAATCTGCTGTCTAATGAGGACCTGCTTCCTGGTTTGCAAATGGCCATCTTCTCATTGCATCCTTACATGAGGAAGGGAGAAGTTAATCGCTTTTGTGTTTCCTCTTATAAAGGCACTAATTCCATTACAGGAGAGTTTCATCCTCATGACTTCATCTCTTGAAGTCCCCACTTCCTAAAACCATCACTTTGGTGATTAGGATTTCAACACATCAATTCGAGGAAGATATAAAAACATTCAGTCCATAATACCAGACATTTCCGAAGGCTATGAATTTTATATATTACCCATCTGCAGACTTAATTTTTACATCAAATATTAAGTTTCTTGTTAAAAATTAATAAAGGAATATTGTTTAAAATTTATTTTATTTAACTTGAGATATCCAAAATAGTATTTTTTAACATGCAATCAATAAATAAAAGTGTTAATGAGGTATTTGACAGCCATCTTTTGAACTACGTTTTTGAAATCTTTTTTGAAATTTTATTAAAATTTTACACTTAACAGCAAATCTTAATTTGGTCTAGCCGCATTTCAAAAGCTTGATAATAACATGTGGCTCTTATATTGAACATCAGAGTAGTACAGTGTTTTCATGACCTTTATTTATTTTAAAAAAGAAAGAAACATGGTAGAATCATTGTTTAAATGGTGCTTCTTCTTGCATTAGACAAAAATAGGTCTTGACTAGATGGCTTACGATATGGAGGCCATCTGTTTTAGAGTGATTATGCTATCTTGTGACCATGTTATGGGAATCATTTGAATAAAGAGAGAAATGTACATACTTAATAAGTAGATTAAATATTAACTTTTCTCACTACTTTTTGTTTTGAAAATTTGTCCTAAAGCACTGTAAATGCTGTATTCTTCTAGTAGTGTATGTTTTTTGTTTTATATGGAGTTTATTTTAAAATAAATTTTGGCTAAGACAAAGTTTTAATGGCTCATAATCTTTTTTATTAAGGTGAAATTCACAAAATTAATTAAAGTATACAATTTTAGTACATTCGCATTTAGCACATTGTGCAACTATAATGTCTATCTAGTTACAAAGCATTTCATCATCCCAAAAGAAAATCCTACACTTTCTGAACTGTTACTCCCTATTTCTCATTATCGCCAGCCCTTCTATTTTTCTGAATGGAATGCACGCTGTGCAGTGAACCGCAGAGACAGAGCACGCCGGCCCGCAGGGTGGCCAGGTGCAAGACCACCTGAGCGAAAACACGCTACTCAACCAGTGCCCACTCACCTGCTGGTCTCAAGACAGAGGCACAGGTGTGAGTCCAGGCTCTGATACCTGCTACCTGGACAAGTCACTTTACTAAGTCTTAATTTCTCTATACAGGAGGGAGGAAAGAAAGGAAGGAAGGGTGCGGGGGGAAAGGGGGAAGGGGAAAGGGAGGGGGAGGGGGAAGGGGAGGCTTCCTAGAGGCTTTCTATTTTTTTGGATGCACTTATTCTGCATATTTCATATACATTTAATCATATAGTATGTGACCTTTTGTTTCCGGTTTCCTTCACTCAGTCTAATATTTTCTTTTTGAGGTTAATCGATGATATTACGTGCCTAAGTACTTCATTTTTATTTATGGTTGAATAATAAACCACTGTATGTATACCACGCTTTCAGTCTTCATTCATTTATTTTTAGGCATTGGTGTTGTTTTCACCATTTTGGTTATTGTGAATAGTGGTATTCAGTATTTACACAAAAGTATTTCTTTAAGTTTCTGTTTAAAACTTTTTGGACATATAGCCAGCAGTAGAATTTCTAGGTCATGTGGTAATTTTATATATATAACTTTTCCAGGAACCACAAAACTTCCACAGCAGTTGTATTCTTTTATTCCCACCAGCAATGTAAGAGGTTTCTGATTTCTCCACATCCTTGCCAATACTTATTTTCTGTTTTTATTTTTGTTTTGGTTTTATTATAACTTTCCTAATATATGTGAAGCTGGATTTTAACACAGTTCTGCTTTGCATTTTCCTAATGGCTAATGATGTTAAATATCTTTTCATGTATTTGTTAGCTATTTGTATATCTTCTTCAGGGAAATCTCTATTAAAATCTTCTTGTCTTATAAATTGGACTTTTTGTTGTTGACTTGTAGGAGTGTTTGGTATATTCTGGATAATAGACTCTTGTCAGCTATGTGACTTGCAAATATTTTATCCTATCTGTACACTGTCTTTTTGCTTTCTTAATGTCCTTTGATATGCAAATGTTTTTAATTCATAAAGTTCAGTCTATCTAATTTTCATTCGTTGTTTGTGCTTTTGGTGTCATATCTAAGGATCCATTGCCAAATAAAAGGTAATAAAGATTTATCCCTATGTTTTCTTCTAATATTGTTATAATTTTATCTCATATTTAGGTCTTTGTCCATTTTGAGTTAATTTCTATATGATATGAAAGTCAAGCTTCATTATTTTGTGTGTGGATATACAGTTTTCCCAGTACTATTTGTTGAAGAAACCAGTTTTTTCCGTATTAAATCTTCTTGGCATCCTTGTTTAAAAGAAACTTAAATTGTCAAAGAGTGAACTGTTTTTCCCCACATATTTGTAAATAATTCTGTTTTCTTTCTGTTATTGATTTCTCCCTTTATTCATCATGTCAGATGCTTTGTATGATCTCAATTTTTTACATGTACTGAGACTTGTTTTGTGGCCTAACATATGTTTTATCATGTTCACTTGAAAAGAAAGTATTTGTTTTTATTGAGTGGGGTATTCCATATATCTCTTTTAGGTCTGGTTCATTTATAACGTTGATCAAGTGCCCTATTTAACACCAAGAAAATCATTTTTTTATTCTTTTTTTCTACACCTAAAAAACTATTTTTCTGCAATAATAAAATAAAATAATAATGTCAGAAAAGAAACTCAGCAAGTGAAAATTTTATTTTATGAAACTTTGTATATATAAGCATGCCAAGGAAAAAGTCAAAATAGAAAATAAGCATAATGGGAAAAAAAAGACTTCTTAACTCTGGCGAGATGACATAATTCTGCCTTTTAAACATGGATAAATTTGCAAAACAATTTTACTTCAAGAAAGTAAATGATTGCTTGGCCCCTTGTTACAACAAGTGTTCCTCATAGGCCAGAAACATTAGCATTACTTGAAAGCTATTTAGAAATACAAGATTCCAGGCTCTATCCCAGGCCCATTGATCAGATTATGTTTTAACAAAATGCTCAGGTTATTCAAAAGCACATAAAGTTTAAAAAATATTGTTGTAGATGAGTGGTTCTCAACCATAACTATACTTTAGAATCACATAATAATCATAAAGAAAAAACAAGAGAACTACTCATGCCAGCATCTTATGTAGAGATTCTAATTTAATATTCCTAGAATGGTTCTCTAGTTTTTTGTTCATTTGTTTGAATGCTGCAAATCTAGGTGATTTGACTTCCACCCAGTAATGAGTCATTGATCTATCAGGAGTTTTTAACTGCAGTCCACAGATCACTTGTATTTCAATAAAATTATTGTTTTTCTATAATCATATATGTGTATATATGTGTGTGTGTGTGTGTGTGTGTGTGTGTGTGTGTGTGTGTGTGTTTTCTTTGATCCTTGCATTAAACATATACCATTCCTTAATGAAGGAATACATAAAATCCAATAAACTGCCAAAGGAGTCCATGACACAAAACTTTTAAGAATCCAGAAAAAAATAATTATCCTGACCTTTTTCTAATGACAAAATGTCATATGCACTTAAAGGTCAGTGCAATCTAATCTTACCTTTTGAGCCCAACTGCGTACTCAAACTTTTTTTTTGTTCCTCCTTACAGTGATCAAACAAGACCTAGTATGCTTTCTTTCTTATCTGATTATTAAAAATATGTGTATCTAATTAACTTAGTTTCTTCCCAGTGGCAATTTGTGGTTGAATATCTAGAATCTATTTTCTCTTCCATAATTATAAATGTAACCATTTATTTTTTAGGGTATCTCAACCTTTCCCTCAAGTATGCCAAATGCTTCAAGGGAAAGTAAAATATAGCAGCTCTTTATCTAGGCTCTGATAGCCTAAGCCAATCAGCCCATTCCCAGGTATTGCTTTAGTAATAGTCATATGATCTAAGCTAGTTCAATAGGAGTGAGTCTGTGGTAATTGTGATTGAAATGTTGAGTCACAACAGATTGTCCTTCCTTTGACTGTGAACTAGGAATCAATTATTCTCAATTGTGATAAACCTTTCCATGACTATGATAAAATAATTATTTAGAAGAAGACAAGACTGTAGTTGGCAGAAGATAGAGATGAAAAAATAAACAGACAAATGAACAAACTATTCTTTCTTACTTTTATATGGCTAGGTTACCTGAATGTGAGTCTGAAGGTCTCCTTATTCCTGGACTTTATATGAGCAATTCAGTCCTCTTTATTAGTAGGCCAGGTTGAGTCGTTTGCTGTTTCTCTTAATCAAGAACATTCCAAATTTTTATAGGATTTGGAATTGTGAATGGGACAATTAAGGACCCATTCAATTTCATTAAAAGTGTGAACTTGATTAAGTAAAGGAGTTAGGTAGAAGACAAAAAAATAAAAAAAAACAAAACTTTTATCCACAATATGTGGAAGTTTTCAATCCTTATTTTATGGTAGCAAAAGAGTTAAAATGAGGCCTACTGAAGCATGGATTTGATATTAGACTTTATGTCCAGAAACTACACCATTAGGAGCTTGGTGAAAAACAACCAGAATATTGGACTATATTATAAAGGAAAAAGCAAGCTTGATCCCAAAGTGGCTTTTTGAAGAGAGCAAAAAACAACAACAAAAAAAGTTTGCTAACAGAGGCTTAGTCTACCCATGTGCTGAATTCCCTGATGTTTAAAATGTCTTAAATACCAGGCATGCTAGGGCATAGCTGGAAAGGCTAAACTTCACACACTAAGCTGAAGTTAATAAAGGGAGAGATGAGGAGGTAAAATATTCAGCAAAGGCAAGGTTGGGACCAATGAGAAACTTTCCTGTCCTCTTCAAGCCCCTCTTGTTAATTATTCCTTATCTGCTAAAGGAAGCAACAGTGGTCATTGTCAATGCAAGCAGAAGCATCCTGGGCACAGATAGGACGCTTTTTGATGTATCCTGTCTTTGTTTAAAATGTTTATCTCTGTTTATTATGTATTTTTACATTAATTTTGAAGTTTTAAAATATTGTTTAAATATTTTGTTCATCTTAGTTGCAGTTTCTTTTGTGCCTCTTTTAATTTTGTGTCCAAGGCAAGTCGCTCACTTACCTCACTATTGTCCTGGCCCTATATCTCCTCAACTGCATCAATTATTTTGAATTGTTTAGAAGTGAAGACTAAGATAAAACCAAAATGAAATCTTTGATAATTCAGTTGAGCCATTACATCAATCAAGCTGGTAAACCTTTCTCAGTTTTATTGACCCATTTCAAGATGGGATTTTCTATTACTTTCACTTGAAAACTCCCTAACACATCTATGTTTATTTTAGCTTACAAATCCCCTTTGTTTCTGCTGGTAGGACCACCATTTACTTAGTTTAGGTAGCTCTGGGCGGAAGTGGTAACAGTGTAGGTTGCCAATACCTTGACAGACACAACTTTTATGATGATATATCCTCACTAAATAAGCAAAAACTGATTGTCTGAAAAGGGAAAGTTCTATTCAATTGTGAATATTTTTTATGCTCTGCATCATACCATATGCTTTGGTGATATGAGAAAGAGGTATATCCAAATGGTTTCTGTTTTTCAGAGGCTCATGAGACAGTGGCAAAAAAAAAAAAAAAAAAAGCCATAAGGTGCAATGGGTTAAGGACAAATACAGACTGAAACTATTCTGATCCTTAGACAGTATAAAGAGAACCAGAAGAGAAAATAACAATCTTATAAAATTATTAGTTCATTCAAAGTTGAACTTTAAGAATAAAGATAAAATAAAAATCTTTACTACATGGATTTAAAATTACATGGGATTTTTGACAAGTAAGGTGATACCTAACAGAGTTAAATTAGAAGAACTGAAACTTAAAATGCTATGCTTAGTTCATTCACTTAACCTTTCATTTCAGATGAGTTATTGAGTAACTGTGGTGAGCAAGGCCTTAACATTGCTATAGGAAATGGAAATATAAATCAGGAAAAAATAGTAGCCCAGTTGCAGAATAAGATAAAGGCACATATAAACATAACTTGTGGCAGAATATAATATGGGCTCAAAAAGAAGCATAATTTAGGTGTTATATCATTTAGATAAATGCAAGGTCATAATCAAATATGGCAAAATCACACAATGATCCATGGAGAGGGGGTTAGATTTAAGGTCATTATTGGAGGATGGTTAAGATGTGCATAGGAAGACAAGCAATTGAGAAATGGTTTTATTAACTCATGTACACAATTGAATTAGAAGGTGCTATTCCCTCAAGATGCTGCCTTATTAATTCCTTTAATGGTAGATTTAAGGTATTTAGATTTTTATAAAAAATAATTCTTGCAGGCTGTGCATGGTGGCTCACGCCTGTAATCCCAGCACTTTGGGAGGCCAAGGCAGGCAGATCATGAGGTCAGGAATTCGAGACAAGTCTGGCCAACATAGTGAAACCCTGTCTCTACTGAAAATAGAAAAATTAGCTGGGCATGGTGGTGTGCACCTGTAGGCCCAGCTACTTAAGAGGCTGAGGCAAGAGAATAGCTTGAACCCGGGAGGCTGAGGTTGTGGTGAGCTGACATCACAACACAGCACTCCAGCCTGGGCAACAAGAGCAAAACACCATCTCAAAACTAAAATAAATAAATAAAATACAAAAATAATTCTTGCAGATGTTATTTTTTACTCCTGAAAGAGTGCCATAGTATTATTTGCATGCTGGAATATGTGGGGTAATGGAAGCTGTAGTTGGTTCAGTTAATAAAACATTTGAATTTTCTTGCCTTTATTTATGGGAAGAAAAGACCAGTTTGATTAAAGCAATATCCATTTAATCTAATTTGTGTTAAAATTTTACTTCGTAAATATTTTTATCTCTGTTTAGGTGTTAGCAAAAGCCTGTGCGTATCATAAATGTAGTCACATATTCATACTGTCTATTTTTGCTTTTCCTCCAAACAAACTGACCTACTCATCTTACCTATATAAAGAAAATGTCTGTTTGCTTTTCGTAAGTTCTTTCTTCTGGCCCATTTGAAAATTAGAGTTTCATGTAGAGCAGTCCAGTTATATTTTTTTCTCTATCACTGTGTAGAAAATGTTGAAAATTTTGCACTTGAATGAGGAGGCAAAGAGACTTACAGGCTGATTACTGTCATTGATGTAGTATCAGGAATAGAGTGCATGTATGACATTCTTTATACCCTGAATGATGAGTATGATCATGAACAGAAACTTTACGCCTAACTTCAATTTCAGATTTGCCAACAGCTCTTTGTATTTTCTCTGCTTTCTTAAACAATATTTAAGTCTGCCCCTTTAAATAGTAGCAAAAAAGACATGGTCCATAGCAATAAGGCAAATGCTAGGGACCTGAGGTCATTTGTCTGTGGAAAGTAAGTAGGTACAATAATCTCCCCTTATCTATGTGGGATACTTTTGAAGACTCCAGGTGAATGCCGGAAACTGTTGATTGTACTGAATCCTATATATACCATAAAATTTTTCTATACATACATACTTATGATAAAGTTAAATTTATAAATTAGACATAGATATGCTGAGTAAGGTGGCAAAATAGAAAGCTCCACCGATCATTTCCCTGACAAAAACACCAGTTTAACAACTATCTATACATGCACAAAAATGGACCTTCATAAGAATAAAAAACCAGGGGAGCACTTACAGTAACTGGTTTTAACTTCATATCACTGAAAGTGGTGCTTAAGTCATAAGAAAAACAGTCTTGAATCATTGATGCCAACCCTCCCTTGTCCCCTAACAGTGGCAACACAGTGTGGAGAGCCTTTCTATGTGCTGGGGAGAGGGGTTGACTCAGTCCTGCCACGTTATGGCAAAAAACAAAATCAAACCAAACTCAGGTGATTCCTGCCCACAGAGGGGGCATTTATACCAGCCCTGCCCAGAGGGGAATTGCCAATCCCAGAAGTAGGAACTTGAGTTCCCACAAGCCTCACCACCACAGGCTAAAGTGCTCTGGGACTCTAAATAAACTTGAAAGACAGTCTAGACCACAAAGACTGCAACAGCTAGGCAAGTTCTAGGGCTGAAATGGGCCTAGAGACAGTAGACCAGGGGGAGGTAGGGAGGATGGAATAGACTGAAAAAATAGGTAGGGTAGCTAAGAGGGTGCTGGAATCACCCTCTCCCTAATTCTAGGCTGCAGAACTTGTAGCTCCAAATAAGACCACTTCTCTCTGCTTGAGGAAGGAAGATGGAAGACTAGGGAGGACTTTTGTCTTGCATCTTGAATATCAGCTCAGTCACAGCAAAATAGGGCAGCAGTCAGAGTCACGAGATATCCTTTCAAGGCCCTAGCTCTGTACAATTTTTCTAGACACCACTTGGGCTAGAAGGGAATCTGCTGCCTTGAAAGGAAAGTCCCAGTTCTGGCAGGATTCATCGCCAGCTAACCGAAGAGTCTTTGAGTCCCGAATAACCAGTAGCAATACCTAGGTACTATGTTGAGGGCCTTTGCTGAGATTCTAAGACTAGCTGGATTCAGGTGAGACTCAGCACATTCCCAGCTGTGATGGCAATGAGGTGAGACCCCTTCCACTTAAGAAAAGCAGAGGGAAAAGCAAAGGAAACTTTATATTGCACCTAAAGTACCACCTTGGCCACAGGGGTGTAGAGCACCAAGTAGAATCTTGGGGTCCCGGACTCTGGCACTTGGCTCTTGGATGACATTTCTGGTCCTGCCCTGGGTCAAATGGGAGACCATTGCCCTAAAGAGTGAGTCTCAGGCCAGAGAGCATTCATTATAAACTGATTGAAACTGATTGAAGAGCCCTTGGGCCTGAAGAGAACATTGGCGGTAGTCTGGCAGGACTCCCTATGAGGGTGTGGTGGTGGTGGCCATGGGATGAGGCTCCTCTGCCTTTGGAAAGGGGAGGGAAGGACTGCATCTTGTGGTTTAAATGCCAGATCAGCTGCAGTACAATAGAACAGCAGGTACAATTCTAAGATTTTTGACTACAGTCCCTAGCTTCTAGGTGGAAACTTTGAACATATCTCAGACCTGGGGGAACTTTCCACCCTGAAGAGAAGGACAAAGGCCTGGCTGGCATTGCCACTTGCTGATTGTATAGTCCTGTGGCCTTTAGCAAATGTAGGTGGTATCCAGAGAGTGGTTGCAGCAGGCCTTGTGTAAGACCCAGTACTGTTTTGGCATCAGGTCTCACCCACCACAGCCCTCATGTTAATGGCTACAGGAGTGCTTGTGTCACTCCATCCCGAGATCCAGGTGGCTCAGAACAGAGAGAGAGAGAGAGAGAGAGACTCTGTTTGGGAGAAAGTAAGGGAAGAGAACAAGAGTTTCTGCCTGATAATCCAGAGAATTATTCGGACCTTGTCTAAGACTATCAAGGTAGTACCTCTATGAGTCTGTAAGAACCACAGCATTACTGAGCTTATGTTGCTACCTGAAGTAGACAGTGCTTAGATCATAACACTAAAAGTCCTTTTGAATAGCTGGAAAGACTTCCCAAGATGTATCAGTACAAACATTCTCAGACTAAGAAGTTTACAATAAATATCTAACTCTTCAATGCAAACACACAGATGAACCTCTGCAAGTATTAAGACTATCCAGGAAAATATAATCTCACAAAATGAACTAAATAAGTCACCAAGGATCAATTTTGTAGAAATAGAGAAATGTAACCTTTCAGACAGAGAATTCAAAATAGTTGTTTGAGGAAGCTCAAATAAATTCAACAAAGAGATTGAAATAATTAAAAAGAATCAAGTAGAAAATCCAGAGTGTCTTAGGTTAGTTAAGACTTGTTTTGGGAACTTACATATAATCTATCTTGGAGAATATTCCATGCACAGTTCAGAAGAATGTGTATTCTTCAGCTGATGTATGACATGTTCTGTAAATATCTGTTAGATTCATTTGGTATAGAGTGCAGTTTAAATTCAACTGCTAAATTTCTTTTTAAAATTTTCTTCCTGAATGAGTGGTCCATTAATTAAAATGGGTATTGAACTCCTCTACTGATATAGTATTGTGGTCTAATTATCCTTTTATATCTATAAATATTTGCTTTATAAATTTAGTTACTGTGGTATTGGCTGCATTCATGTTTATAATTGTTAAATCCTATTGCAGAATTGACCTTTTCATCATTATATAAGGACCTTCTTTGTTTCTTTTTACAGTTTTTGACTTAATGTCTATTTTATTTGATATGAATATAGTTAATTTAATTTTTGGATATGCATTTGCATGGAATATCTTTTTTCATCTCTTCACTTTCAGTCTATTAATGTCCTTACAGGTGAAGTCAGTCTCTTGTAGATAGCATGCAATTGATTCTTGGATTGTTGTTTTGTTTCTTATCCATAAATTTACTCTATTTCTTTTAATAATATAACTTAATTAATTTACATTCAAGGTAATTGTTGATAGGTATAAACCTTCTACTACCATTTCATTCATTTTTTATTCGTTTTGTGGAGTCTTTCTTTCTTTTTTTAAATTTTCAAGCATGCCATTTATTTAAAAATTTTACATATTGTGAAAAGCAAATGAAATAAATAGAACAGAATATTTGCTTTGTGTCCATTTTTAAACACAAGCTACATTTTTTAAAA